>NC_000002.12:52614594-52917625 GCF_000001405.40 Homo sapiens | reverse complement strand
ATTTAACAGATATTTTTTCAGCATATATTATGTTTATGCCTCTGCTCTAGATTCTGGGAGTGTAGATTATTCCATAAATAGCTACTTAAATAAGCTAGATAAGATAGTTGTTCAGAAGGAGTTAGGTTCCAGTGGAAAGAAACAATCAATAAACAAGCAAACGAACATGTTAACATTTTTAGGTTATGGTAAGTTTTATAAAGAAAAAAATACAAAGTAACATGTTAGGTAATTCCTGGAGTTGAAGAAAGCTAAAGTTGATTACAGATTGAGGAGTATGGAAAGGCATATGGAGGAGGTGATAGTTGAGCTGCGAAAAAGCCAGACTTGGAAACACTCCAAGAGCACTCCAAGCAGGAAGAATATTATGTGCCACGACCCTAGAATAAGAATGAAATTCCAGGAACTGGAAGTAATACCAGGAACAGGTTGAATGCTTCAACCTGTGTGGTTGAAGCATAGTTAAGTGATAAGGTCAGAGAGGTAAGTCAGAGTAAGGTCAGATAGTAAGTCAGAGCAAGGAGAGTCAGTTTAAATGTAATGCAAAACGATTGGATGGTTTGCACAGGGAAGGGAATGGATCTCATTTGTATTTTTGAAAAATTCATACTGGCTGCTATATAGAAGGTGGAAACTGCAGGAAAGGAACAGACATGGCAAATACAGAAGCAGAGATACTAGTTAAGAAGCTATCATGGGAATCCACACAAAATATAATGGTGCTGTAGAGACTAGATAAGAGTGGAAAAAGAGGCCGATTCAATGAATTTGGGCTATATATGAAAGTACAGTGAACAAGTTTATATAGTTTTCATTTTATGCCTGAGAAAACTAAGATTCCAAGAAGCTAAATAAAAGTATCCCAAAAACATAAAGCAATAGTTTAAACATAGGTATTCTGATTTGAAGACTGTCAGATGATTATTTTAAATGAATAATTTTTTAACAGTAAAGTTCTCCTAAATATTGTACTATCTTTGATGGCTCCATTGAAAAACATTTCTGTTGGCATAAATATGTCTTCATTCCGTTGAATTTCTTTCCTATACTTTATTTTTAAAAGGGAATATAAATACTTTTGCGAAAATTGACCATATTGTATTACCAAAGAAGTGATATCAAGAAAGTAATGTCTTAGCTCTATAAGTTACTTCACTCTTAAGAAGACTGCAGAATTAGACATGGTATCAATATTGCTGAATCCTAGAATGGCTCTTTTAAATAGCAATCTGCTGGTGATTCCTGCTTTTAAAATATTAGATAATTTTTACAGCAGTACAGCATTATTTTGCCTGGATTTCTCAAAATTCAGCCACAGGTTACCCAGAAATATACCTTGGAAAATCACATGTGTACTTTTCTCTAAAACTGGGTTTGTAATATTTTTATGCATATCCAAATGTTTTAAAGATGACTTTCCTAGCAAGTAGTTGTTTTACTACAAGAAGATCATAACAAAATAATACTTGGAACATACATGAATTCTACCACATAAGAACAATGGGAAAATATAGAAAGGAAGTGAGGTTCTTTCACATTTGGTGGCATGACCTCTATTGCTTGGGGCTTTGTCAAATATCTATCTAAAGCAATGTGGACTTAAGGAAGGATGCCAGGTGGAGATTTGTCCAGTTTTGCTCTTTGGTTGAATGTTTCCATTGTATTTACAAAATAATATAGAAATAGTTTAGAAATAGGGATGACAGATTGAACTAATATATATAGCTTTACATTATTCCTTAATTCCATAGTTTTGAAGCAACTACAGCCCAATGAGGTTAGTTATTATAGTAAAAAATCTTCTACCTTACTCTGACTTTGGAATAATTTGCAGATAATTTAGAATTAGCTTTACAAAATCATTTTTTACAGCTTTATTATTTCTTGCTTACTTCCGAAACAAATCTTCTTGACTTTCTTATTCCATTAATGGCAATCAGATTTATCTCAGATTCTTAGGCTTGAAATCATGGTGGCATTTTTCCTTTTTAAATTTTTATTTTTGGGCATTCATGGTTATATCTGATACATATTAAGTCTCATAGATTCTGCTTTTCCATTTGTTAAATTATATTTCTACCCCATCTGCCTGCTTCTGTTCACTTTCCTGAAGTTCTAGCATAGGTTCGTATTCCATCTTACGTGTAATATTCTCACAGCTTTCTAATTTTGAAAAAAGATAAAAACATAATCAGCCCTTCCAAATTAGGAATAACATTTGAGCCACCCTCCAAATCAGGAAAAGAATTTCACTAAATTCAAGACCAATGGAAGGGCAATGGCAACAATTAGTAGACTCTGCTACAGTTGTACTGAGTAAACCTGTCTTTGTCCAGCAAAATAAGGTCTGTAACAGACTGGAAAGTCAGCTATCATCCTTCTGTTCCCTGAAGGTTCTTTTTAACACAGCCAAAGTAGCCTTTCTCTACACTTATAATCATTTGGATATCATACTTCTAGAAAAAAAAAACAGTAGCAGAAAATTGGAAGTAGGGACTGATCTTAGTCTCCATCTGCTGATCTGTGACTATCCTCTCAAGTTAAGATCTGCCATAACTAAGATAGGAAGAACATTGGTAGAAGAATATTCTCAAGATTTTAGTTTTAATAGATTGGGTCCACTGAGACTATTAAGAAGCCATTCACCTGGAAGAGCAGAAGATTCCATACTGATGTAGCAAAGCCACACTAGGTATTGGGAAATTATTCAAGACGCATTCTAATACCCATAAACTTACCATCTTACTATAGAAAATGCTAATGCTAATGCATTAGCATCACTCAGGACAGATCATATGGGCATGTACTGTAGGCTCTTACCAAAGAGAAAGTTCCAGCTCTTGCCACTCCTCCACTTTGTACCAAATGGTTACCTAGTTTTAGTATATTTATGAAAGCATGGCCTTGTTGCTTACCTGGTGGCTCATGATATTACCTTTGCCTCATTACCCAAAAATCTCCTGTGTAGCCCTTCACTACAAGTGAATTTTATTGCAAATCACAACCTGGAACACCTGGGCATGATACAGCGGTGGTATCTCTACATGAACCTCAGCAGGTGCATGAAAGTCAGGGGAGCCATTCTTAACCTTTCCTATTCTCCTTAATTTTTTAACCATTCTTGTATATAAGGGAGTAGGCATATTAAATTCTATTGTAGGACTGAAAGTAAACAAAATGAATTATAATACAAGATAGAGGGGAAATTTTAAAAATTCTATCACTAAGGAAAGCACAACATATTTTAAACACAGCATGAAAGCATGCCCTGTATAGACATATTCAGTCATTAGTGTGTGTCCTCTGGTCTCTGAGGACTTCCTTCTTCAAACTTTTTCAGGGTTAGTCTTTACCACCTCCTAATATCTTGCTCTTAAGGCTTGATGCCATCTACTATTTCAAATGCAATGTCTAAGACAAAATAACACCTAACAGCTCATTTTGTAAAATTAGCATTTGGTGTAGCAAAAATATATAGAAAATGGAGGAGGAGCACCTGTGGAATTTCAGGGAGGCTTTGATAGTCCAAGTCCATCCATATTCACTACTAGTGTAAAGTACAGATATGCTGTTTGGCATGTAATGAATGTTCATCAGCTAATGAACGTCTGAAACACAGACCTCACTTATGACTGCATGTGTGCATGCTGCCACACACACAGATATACACGCAGCAACATAGCAACATACCTGGCGTGTGTGCCCACACACATACACTCTCTCTCCAAAGAACAAATCTTAGTTTAAAGAAAATCACAGTGTCTGGATAAATATTAAAAATCATTCTCTAAGTTTAACAAAATATGCCTATACCCTTGCAAAAGTGATAACACCTTACATCATTATGCCTCCTAGTCAATATCTGCCTTTATACTCTATCCAGAGGTCCATGGGTGCTTATGAAATGGGGATGTTTAACAATCCTATTTTAAATGACAGCATTTTCTGCCTTTGGTAGATATACTCTGGTTACACAGATAAACAGTCGAAATTTTGAAATAATGCTTTTTACATCTATTGATCAAAATGCATCCTTAGGTGCAGGGTGTCCAGATTATCCTCTGTAAGTGAAAGAAAGATGATGTGAGAGTTTACTATCCTCATATTCATGTGGTAATGTAGGGGTCCAATCACAAGATCTATAGACCTACCTTCTCAAAAATGTGTAAATAAAGTTGAACCAATAAAATCAATAAAAATATTACAGAATATATGAATAAAAACATGCAATATTTATCTTTCTGTGCCTGGTTTGTTTCATTTAATATAATGTCTTACAGTCTCAAAAAGATGATCTCATAGAAGTAGAGAGTAGAATAGTGGTTGCTAAAGGCTAAAGAGGGTAGGGGAATGGGGAGTATAGGGAGAAGTTGGTTGACAGATACGAAATTATAGCTACATAGGAAGAATAAATTCTAGATAGAAAGAATATAGCACTGTGGGGTGACTATAGTAGCAGTAATTTATTGTATATTTTTGAGTATCTGTAGGGTAGCATTTTGAATGTTCCAAGCACAAATAGGTGATGAAGATGCTAACTTACCCTGATTTGATCATACACATCGTATACAGGTACCAAAATATTCTGCACCCCATAAATATGTACAATTATTATGTGCCAATTAAAAATTAAAGCAAATAAACAAACACAAGTATACAACAAAAGAAAATAGCACTAGCTTGAAGAATTCTAAAGGAAACAAAGGCCTTAGAGTACAAGCGCTGAACTTTGAAAACAATCACAGAAATCAGAAGACTTATTTAGACACTTGTATGGAACTCTGATCAGAAAACAGAAGGCATGGAAGTTAAAATAAGGCATAAATAACCATAAGGAAAGAAGATATTAAGAAGAAAACGTTTACAATAGAATGAAACGAAAAGTAATAGGCAAAATAGAAAAGAAAGTAGAATAATGAATAGCATTAATTATTTTACTTCCTTGTTCTACTTGCCAAACTTTCAGAGGTAAACTAAAACCAGGTAACCATTGGGTACAAAGTAGAGGAGTTGGAAGAGTTGGAACTTTCTGTTTGGTAAAAGCCTATAGTACATGCCCTGATTCTCTGTCCTGAGCAATGGTAATGCATTAGCGTTAGCATTTTCTATGGTAAGGTGGTGAGTTTATGGGTTTTAGAATGTACCTTGAATAATTTCCCAAAACCTAGTGTGATTTGATAGCCCAGTATGGAATCTTCTCGTATTCACTAATAATGAGAAATATTCTGAATATCACCTTTTAATGAGCACTGGAGATAACCATAATACAAATTACCTATCATTCTTAACCATTTATCAACACAATTCAGGTGGAATTTCTTCCTATATTTGATAATCATTTAAAACAATGACTAGAAATATTCTGTCTCACCCCCCAAAAGTCTAAACTATTTACACAATAGGATCATAAAAATGAAAAATTGTGTCTATTTTGTCATAAAATGGATAAATCCAATAATGCCCTTTCATGAAGTAAAATTGCATAAACATATATATTTAACATTTTTATTACCAAGGAATACGAATATAGTTTTATCCATCTTTATGCCATAGTTTTCTGATCTATTAACATTTATAATAATTTAATTAGTTTATATATAAAGCATTTAGAATAGTGGCTGCACAAGTTGAGTATTCAGTACGTAATATAAGTTAATACAAATTATAATATTGGAACAATCCAAGTGATTTCAGATTTAAGATGTTATCAGTAAGCCTTTTTAAATGTTCTCCTTCACCAGTGAATGCTTCTTTGCTAATTATGTATATGTTAATATATCTAATACAAGATAATGCATTTAACAAATTTGTTAGAAAATACAGGAAATAAAAAATATGGCAATATATACCAAAATGTTACCTGATATTATTGTGTAGATGGAGATTTGGGATACTTTTTATACTGTTTAATTTCTGCATTTTTCTGAATGTTGTACAATAAGCATGCTATACATTAACTTTACTTTCAGAAATTATATCTTATTTGTAATTACCAGTATATGCCTCTTAATTCTCTAATAATGTAAAAACAATTGTATAACAAGAAACTACAGAGAAATCACTAATATGACTATGCAGTGAGTATTCAGGTATGTTTCTTTCTACTTCTTTTCCAGGTTTTCTCATAATAGTATGTCATATTTTTTAAATAAAGTATTTAAATATACTATATAGGCCAGTATGAAATATCTCTTGCATTCAATCATTCTTACTTTCTCCAACTTAAAATTCTCTGTCCCTCTTTTAAACTCTGATAATTACTTCCACTTCTGTTGGTTATTCATGGTTTTCTGTCTTTCATTATATTTATTTGTGTAACTTTTGTGTTAGAATGTCGTTTCAATGGGTTGTATGCAATTCCATATTATTCTTAATTCAAATGGGCATAACTATGATAGATTCAACATATTATTCTTGTACTAAAAACTTTGTGACATTTATGTTAGCTAAAAGTACCATTATTTTTAACCTCCTATGAGTAGCCATGAAGACATACATTTTTCACAGAGGGAATCTAAAAAGTTACATAATAGTATGAAATTTCCTCAGAAATGAAATGTTAAACAATACAGAGCATCTACTGAATTAATATAAACACTGACTTAGTAATAAGGAGATCTATGTTTTATTTCTTGTTTTAACCTCTAAAGAGTTTAGCTATTTTCTGAAGCACTGGTGATCATTTCTGGGGAAGTAAGGTTTCAGATTGGAGCAATGATCTATAAGTTTTCCATGCATCAAATTACAGTATATTCTCTCTTTGTTTTGTGGGGGGATGTAGTCTAGTTTCTTTCACTCCATGTTGTTGCATGTTTCAGTAGTTTACTGCTTTGTATTGCTGAGTCGACTTCATTGTATGAGTATACTAAATTTGTCCATTCTACTTATTAATGGACATTTATGTTGTTTCCAGCTTGGAGTATTGCAAATATGACTGCCAAAAACTTTCATGTACATACAGTTTCATTCTTTTGGGTAAATACCTAAAAGCATAATGGCTGGATCATTAGATAGGAATATATTTAATTTATTAAGAACCTGTCCAACGGGTTTTAAAGTGGCTGTACTATTTTACATTTTCACTAGCAGTGTATAGCACTGATAGATCTTTCACATCCACACAAACCTTCTTTGGTCAATATTTAGAGTTAGCCATACTAATAGGTGTGTCGCACTATCTCACTGTGGTTTTAATTTATATCTCCTTAATAATTAATATTGTTGAGCATCTTATGTGCTTTTTGCTGTTTATCTTTTTTTGCTGAAATGTCTATTCAAATATTTTGCTCGGTTGAAAAATGATTTATTTTCTTGTTATCAGATTTTGAGAGTGATTTAGATACTCTGAATATGAATCCTTTGTCAGATATGTGATTCGTAAAAATTTTCTTCTCCTTTTCTAAGGATTGTCACTTCATTCTTTCAATAGTTTCTTTCAGAGATTCTTTTATTTAAGTTTTATAAAGTCAAATTTATCATATTTTTTATTTTATGTATTATACGTAAGAAATATTTTTCTAAGCCAAGGTCACAAATATTTATGCCTATGTTTTCTTGAAATTTCAAACAATAATTGTAGATTTGTCTTTTTTTCCTTGCAGTTCTATCAGATTTCGCTTCAAAAATTTTGGACCTTTGTTACTAGGTACATAAACATCTGAGGTAGGTATATTAAGTTGTGCCTTTTTTTTTTGAAAAAATCAAATCTGATAATCTCTGCCTTTTAATTGGAATTTTAAATCTATTACATTTAATGTTATTTAAAATTAAAATTTATCTTGCAATTAATATTATATTTGTTTTATTCGTTCTCGCCTTACATTTTCTCATTTTTTTGCCTTCTTTGAATTACTTATAAGATTATGGTTATTCCTTCTTATCTCCTCTAATAGCTTTTTAGCTTCAATCAATTATTTTGTTATTTTTGATTATTGCTTTTATGTTTACAGTGTACATATGTAATAATATAGTCTACCTTAAAGTGACATACAAATTCACATGTAGTATAAGAACCTTGTAATAATATACTTCCGTTTCTCCCCTCTGGGCCTGTATGTTATTATTATACATTTTATTTCTGCACATAGTATAAAGTCCACACTACATTGTTATAATTTTGTTTAAACAATCTGTTATCCTTTAAAGAGATTTCAATAATGAGAAAAAATCATATGCATTTGCCTACCCAGTTACCATTTCCAATACTCTATTCTCGGTGCAACCCGAAGTTCCATCTGGTATGATCTTTCTTTCATCTTAAGGGTTTCTTGTAAGATTTCTTCAGTCTTATGCTGATAAATTCTTTTACCTTTTGTATTTCTAAAAAAGTCTTCTTTCACCTTCATTTCAAAAAATAGTTTTGTTGGGTATATAATTCTATGTTGCTGAGTTTTTTTCTTTCAGTGCTTTAAGATGTTACTCTACTGTATTCTCATTTGCATTGTTTCTGTTGATAAATATATGGTCAATGCTAATGTTTAACAAGCTTCTTGGATCTGTGGGCTTATAATTTTCATAAATTTTGAAATTTTATTTTTTAAAATATTTTTCATTTCCCATTCCCTCTATTATCTTCATCAAGAACTACAATTACACATACATTAGACTGCTTCAATTTGTTTCACAGCTCTCTAGTGTTGTCTTTAAGTCTTTCTTCTCTCTGTTTTATTTTCGAAAGTTTTTATTGCTGTCTTTTCAAATACGTTATTCTAATGTCTGATATATTATTTATCTCAACCAGTGTATCTTTCAACTAGACATTTCATTTTTCATCTCTGGAAGTTAAATTTTGTTCTGTTTTTATATTATTCTTGCCTCTATAAAACATTTCTATCCTTTTCTCCAGTTTTTTGAATATAAAGAATATAGTTACAAGAGTTTTCATATCCTTGTCTACTAATTGTACAATATTTATGAGTTCCATATTGGCTTCATTCGATGAATTTTTCTCCTCACTGTTGGTTGTAGTTTTCTAATCCTTTGAATATCTAATAATTTTTGATATGACACCAAAATCTTAATTTTATATTTTTGGGTGCTGAATATTTTTGTATTCCTGTGAATAGTCTATAGCTTTTTTCTGAGATGTGGTTAAGTTACTTGGAAACAGTTTTATCATTTCGGGATGAAACAAAAGGATAAGCAGTAAGGATAAAACCAAATAAACGAGCAAAAACAAGATTGAAGATAAATATGGTCTCTGTTGTTCCACCATTATTGGAAGTGAAGTTCCATCATAAACTTTTAATGTTTTTTCCCAGTTATTCTTTTTGTTAATTTTTAGTTTTTTTACTATACTTTAAGTTCTGGGATACATGCACAGAATGTGCAGGTTTATTATATAGGTATACACGTGTCATGGTGGTTTGCTGCATCCATCAACCTGTCATCTGCATTAGGTATTTCTCCTAATGCTATCCCTCCCTTACCCCCCACCCCCAACAGGCCCTGGTGTGTGATGTTCCCCTCCCTGTGTCCATGTCTTCTCATTGTTCAACTCCCACTTATGAGTGAGAACCTGTGGTGTTTAGTTTTCTGTTCCTGTGTTAGTTTTCTGAGAATGATGGTTTCCAGTTTCATCCATGTCTCTGCAAAGGACATGAACTCATCCTTTTTTATGGCTGCACAGTATTCCATGGTGTATATGTGCCACATTTTCTTTATCCAGTCTATCATTGATGGGCATTTGGGTTGGTTCCAAGTCTTTGCTATGGTGAATAGTGCTGCAATAAACATACGTGTGCATGTGTCTTTAGAGTAGAATGATTTATAATCCTTTGGGTATATACCGAGTAATGAGATTATTGGGTCAAATGGTATCTCTGGTTCTAGATCCTTGAGAAATCGCCACACCATCTTCCACAATGGATGAATTAATTTACACTCCCTCCAACAGTGTAAAAGCATTCCTATTTCTCCACATCCTCTCTAGCATCTGTTGTTTCCTGACTTTTTAATGATCGCTATTCTAACTGGCATGACATGGTATCTCATTGTAGTTTTGATTTTCATTTCTCTGATGACCAGTGATGATGAGCTTTTTTTTCATATGTTTTTTGGCCACATAAATGTCCTCTTTTGAGAAGTGTTCGTTTATGTCCTTTGTCCACTTTTTGATGGGGTTGTTTGTTTTTTGGACACAAACAAATGGAAAAACATTCCATGCTCATGGATAGGAACAATCAATATCATGAAAAAGGCCATGCTGCCCAAAGTGATTTATAGATTCAATGCTATCCCCATCAAGGTAACGTTGACTTTCTTCACAGAATTAGAAAAAACTACTTTAAATTTCATATGGAACCAAAAAAGAGTCAGTAGAGCCAAGACAATTCTAAGCAAAAAGAACAAAGCTGGAGGCATCATGCTACGTGACTTCAAACTATACTACAAGGCTGCAGTAACCAAAACAGCATGATTCTGGTACCAAAACAGGTATATAGACCAATGGAACAGAGCAGAGGCCTCAGAAATAATGCCACACATCTACAACCATCTGGTCTTTGACAAACCTGACAAAAACAAGCAGTGGGGAAAGGATTCTCTAATAAATGGTGTTGGGAAAACTGGCTGGTCATATGCAGAAAACTGAAACTGGACCCCTTCCTTACACCTTATATAAAAATTAACTCAAGATGGATTAAAGACTTAAGTGTAAGACCTAAGACCATAAAAATGCTAGAAGAAAACCTGGGCAATACCATTCAGGACATAGGCATGGATGAAGACTTCATGACTGAAATACCAAAAGCAATGGCAACAAAAGCCAGAATTGATAGATGAGATCTAATTAAACTAAAGAGATTCTTCACAGCAAAAGAAACTATCATCAGAGCGAAAAGGTGACCTACAGAATGGGAGAAAATCTTTGCAATCTATCCACCTGACAAAGGGCTAATGTCCAGAATCTAGAAGGAACATAAGCAAATTTATAAGAAAAAAAAAAACAACTCCAGTTATTCTTAGTAATGATTGTTTTATAAATGCTTGTTAATAATCAAAATACATAAATACTTAAGTGATTCTAAAGGTCACCTTTAAGTCACTTTCATCAAACTACAAGTTTAAACTGGGAGTAACAAGTGCTACTAATCTTCTACATTTTTTGTTTCCACTTATTTGTTTTGTTTTCTTCTTATTGCTTATTCTTTTGTTTCATTTTTCTAAACTTTTCGCTTCATATTAATTAATTTGTGTTTCCCAGAGAATTTTTAGTTCTAATTCTGCAAGAGTTAGTTACATGGGATGTCAAATGTTAGAAAGAAAGAAAGAAAGAAGGAAAGAAGGAAAGAAGGAAGGAAATAAAGAAAGAAAGAAAGAAAGAAAGGGGATAAAGAGAGAAGAAAGGGGAAGTAGAAGGAGGCTGGATATTTTTAAACTACAATGTATAAGACATTTTCAGGGAGACAAAGACAAACAGGACAGATTATTCTTAAGTTGTGACAATGTAGCTGTGGAGACACAATGCAGATATGCCTATTTTAATAACACTTTAAGTTAAACATTTAAAAGATAATAATAACTCCCTGTGTCCATTTACAGTTCATTAATTGTGATAGTACATAGCAATTTATTTTTTCTACATTCTGAAACAAAACGAAAAGTCTGTGTGTAAGCCTGTGTGAAGGCTATTTAGTACCAAATAAAACCAATTTGTATATTACATTAGAATTTTTGAGTCAACCAAAATATTTCCAAATACAAAATGTGACTGTATATGACAAGTGTTAAGTGACAAAGTTCTCTTTTCATACTTAACAGATTTTTCAGTTAAGGCTGCCAGAATGTTTTTTATGTGAATTAATCAATTACATAAACACTGGATATTTTAAAACTACAATGTATAAGACATTTTCAGGGAGACAAAGACAAACAGGACAGATTATTCTCAAGTTGTGACAATGTAGCTGTGGAGACACAATGCAGATATGACTATTTTAATAACATTTTAAGGTAAACTTTTAAAAGATAATAACAATAAAGTAATCCAAAGTAGTACATGAAAAGTATCCAAAGGAGCACAACATTACATAAATCATAACAGTTAACAAATACTATGATCACTAAACACTTATTAGTTTGGAATTTCTTTGAAGAGACTTGAGGTTTACATCAGTGGGCTCATTAGTTAGAAGAGAGGGAAGTACACTCTGGCCAGAAGTTATCTCTGTGAGGTAAGTCAGTAGTCAAAAACCACCAGGCCTGTTTGTTGATGAAGGAGCGGACTAACCCAGAAGGACTCCCTAGTTTATATTGAGAAATAGTAGGAAACAAGACAGACATTAGAGTTTAGGGGTCTGACAACATGGGAACTTAAATGCTAGACTCATAATGACTTAGTTTTGAAGGTTGATGGCATGATTAATTGCATAGGGCAGAAATATAACTTCATGGACCAGATAAATCGTGTTTAGAGGAAGAAGCACAGTATATTTAGGTTAGTGGATATTTGGCATCTGCGATGTTCAGAATTCATTCATTCATTCATTCATTCATCTGTTCGACATGATCTCAGGCATGTGCTGGTTTCTGAAGATAAAATGGTTAAGGCAGCAAATGATATGAAACATACACTTGAAAATTGAAATGGTAACTGATTTAAAGGAAGCAAAAAGGGAACTTCACTAGAAAGTAATATGACCAAAGAGGATACATTTTTAGGTACAGTGATCCAAGAAAGAGAAGTCCAAGTGGTGATATTTTAAAATGAGACTTGAAGAGAAAGAATCAAGCATGAAAAGAGCACAGGCAGAGCTAACAATGCCTATGAAGGATGAAAGGAGTTTGGCAAGTTTGGTGAGCTTTTGTGTGCAGTGTGGAGATGAGGTTAAAGAGCAAAAGCAGAAGGGCAAATCATGTAGTACATTTCATAATCCTTAGAAATAGGCTGGGTTAAATTTCAAATGCAATGGGGAGTGATTCAAAGGTTTTGTGCAGGGCAAGGCAGTAACATGATCTGGATTATAAAAGGCATGTGGAAAGCCTTGTTAAGGAGTCCTCACTGTCCAAATAACATCAGTAACCTAGTCCTGTTGAAGAGATATTTTTATATTTTTCATGTGAGGTTTTATAAAAAATCATCTTGGCATGGAATTGGTTTAAAGTCTGGAATGTAGCTGAACCTATAGTTGGATGTTAAATTGCCCCAGCTGTGGAGTTCCACAGGCCAGAAAGCCAGGCTTATTGTGAGATTAGCCCATGAAGAACAGGGAAGTGACAGGATTCAAGTACTAAGTTCGTTCCTTCCAGCAGCTGTTAGCTAGACAGACAGGAGCAGGGAGAGACTAGAAGCAGAGAGCTTTTAGAATAGGCACCATGGCACCAACCTATTTCCTAAGAAATTGGAAAATAAAATTGCGCAAAGTTAAGCTTCTAGTATGTATCCATTTTTAAATGGATTAAAAAATTACATTAGGTCTTACTGGAGAATCAATTTGAAAGGGATAAGAAACATAAAAGACTACCCTCAGCTGGAAGAATTTGGATCCATTAGAGCTTTCCTAGGGTTTAGAGTCCTATCTCATTTGAAATGTCTGTCTTGAGAAAAATCTCTTATTATGACTCCAGAAAATTACTCTTCCTAATATCAAACCTATTATAATTTGTTGTATAAAGTTTGATGCAGCTGTCTCCCACACATAAACACAAACCTTTAATCATCTTTTATTCTTACCACATTTGTTTCTTAGAACATGTATTGCCAAACCATTTTCAACAGCATATATATAACATTAAAAAATATTTTCTAAAATAGTGTGGCATTAGCATATTTATCTTTATGAATTGTCACAATTGGTGGAAGGAGTGCAATTCTTTGTGTAGATCAGATGTCTTTCTCTGGGTACCTATCATTTGTATCCAGGGGAGTAATTGTTTCAAATGGAGATCAAAGGCAGCCTTAAAGGGAAAATTGAGTTACAAGAGGATAGCTATTCCAATAAAGACTTAAAGCTGAGAAAGGCATACAATGGTGACTGGGGGAGGCATATGAGCTCAGGATGTCTGTGAACCTTGGGGACCAACATCTGGAAGAGCTGCTATCTTCTTCTCTGATTGGTCTCCAAGATACTGTTCTATTGAGTTACAGTAGGTACTAGCAGGTGCCATTTGCTTAATTCATAGACTGAATTAAAATCCGATGGTAAGCCAAATAGTAGAGAATTTGTGAAATTTCATGTTGGTAAAAATTGTGGTATTTCAAATAAAGGCTGAAAAGCTTGACGTTTTAAATAACATTTTAGATGACTGGTCCTTCAACATGTGTGTATAATAGGGAAAATAGTTTTCACTTTAATAAATTAAGAGAATTGTGGGAGTAGAAGTATAGAGAATAGGTAGAAAAAGCTAGCTTTTAAAAAACTTTTATTTTAGGTTCTGGGGTACATGTGCAAGGTTTTATATAGGTGAACTTGTGTCATGGGGGTTTGGTGTACAGATTATTTCATCACCCAGGTATTAAGGATAGTATCTAACAGGTATTTTTTTTTTTCTGATCTCTCCGTCCTCCCAACCCCCCACCCCCAAGGTGGCCACAGTGTCCATTGTTGTCCTCTTTTGGTCCATGTGTCCTCACAGTGTAGTTCTGACTTATAAGTAAGAACATGTGGTATTAGGTCTTCTGTTCCTTCATTAGTTTGTTTAGGATAATGGCCTCTAGCTCCACCCATGTCCCCGCAAAGGACATGATCTCATTCTTTTTTATGGCTGCATAGTATTCCATGGTGTATATGTACCACATATTCTTTATCCAGTCTCTAAGTGATGGATATTTAGTCTGATTCAATGTATTTGCTGTTGTGAATAGTGCTGCAATTTACATATGCATGCAAGCATGTTTCTTTTTGGTAGAATGATTTATTTTTCTTTAGTATATACCCAATAATGGGATTGCTTGGTCAAATAGTAATTCTTCTTTTAGTTCATTTCTGCATACCACTTTCTATAATGGCTGAACTAATTTACACTGCCACCAACCGTGTATAAGCATTCTCTTTTCTCCATAACCTCGCCAGCATCTGTTATTTTTTTGACTTTTTAGTGATAGCCGTTCTGACTTCTGTGAGATGATACCTTATTGTGGTTTTGATTTGAATTTCTGTAATGATTAGTGATGCTGAGCATTTTTTATATGCTGTTGGCTGCATGTATGTCTTCTTTAGAAAAGTACCTCTTCATGTCCTTTGACCACTTTTTAATGAGGTTGTTTTATTTTTTCTTGTAAATTTGCTTAAATTCCTTATAAACTCTGGATACTAGACCTTTGTTGGGTGCATAGTTTGCAAATATTTTTTGCCCATTCTGTAGGTTGTTTATTTACTCTGTTGATAGTTTCTGTTGCAGTGCAAAAGCTGTTTAGTTTAATTGGATCTCGTTTGTCAATTTTTGCTTTTGTTGCAATTGCTTTTGGCTTCTTCATCATGACATCTTCGTCAGGTCCTATGTACAGAATGGTATTCCCTAGGTTATCTTCCAAAGTTTTGGTAGTTTTAGGTTTTACATTTAAATCATTAATTCATCTTGAGTTTATTTTTGTGTATGGTATAAGGAAGGGGTCCAGTTTCAGTCTTCTGCATATGGCTAGTCAGTTATCCCAGCATGATTTATTGAATAGGTAGTCCTTTCACCATTGCTTGCTTTTGTCAGCTTTGTCAAAGATCAGTTTGTTGTAGGTATGTGGGATTACTTCTTGGCTGTCTATTCTGGTCTATTGGTCTATGCATCTGTTTTTGTACCAGTACCATACAGTTTTGGTTACTGTAGCCCTGTAGCATAGTTTCACGTTGAGTAACATGATCCTGCCAGCTTTGTTCTTTTTGCTTAGTGTTGCCTTGATTAGTCAGGATCCTTTTTGATTCCATATTTTAATTTTTTTTCTGTTTTTGGTAGTTTGATAGGAATAGCATTGAATCTGTAAATTGCTTTGGGCAGTATGGGCATTTTAACAATATTGATTTTTCTTAATCATGAGCATAGAATGTTTTTCCATTTATTTATGTCTTCTCTGATTTCTTTAAGCAGCATTTTATAACTTTCATCGTGGAGATCTGTCACCTCCCTGGTTAACTGTATTCCTAGGTATTTCATTCTTTTTGTGGCAATTATGAATGGAATTGCATTCCTGATTTTGGTTTCAGCTTGGTTGTTTTTGGCATATAGGAATGCTACTGGTTTTTGTACATTGATTTTGTATCCTGAAACTTTGCTGAAGTTGTGTATCCGTTAAAGGAGCTTCTTGGCAGAGGCTATGGGGTTTTCTAGATATAGAATCATGTTGTCTGTAAACAGGGATACTTTGATTTCTTCTCTTTTTATTTGGATGCCTTTTATTTCTTTCTCTTTCCTGATTGTTCTGGTCAGGACTTCCAATACTGTGTTGAACAGGAGTGGTGAGAGAGGGCATCCTTGTCTTGTGCCAGTTTTCAAAGAGAATACTTTCAGCTTTTGTCTGTTCAGTATGATGCTGGCCATGGGTTTGTCATAGATAGCTGTTATTGATTTGAGGTATGTTCCTTCATTGCCTGGCTTATTGAACACTTTTAACATGAAGGGATATTTAATTTTATCAAAAGCCTTTTCTGCATCTATTGGGATGGTCATGTGTTTTTTGTTTTTAGTTCTGTTTATGTGACGAATCACAGTTATTGATTTGTGTATGTTGAACCAACCTTGCATGCCAGGGATAAAGCCTACTTTATTGTGGTGGATTAGCTTTTTGATGTGCTGCTAGATTTGCTTTGCCAGTATTTTGCTAAGGATTATTACATCAATGTTCATCAAGGATATTGGCCTGACATTTTTTGTTGTTGCGTCTCTGTGAGGTTTTGGTATCAGGATAATGCTGGCCTCATAGAATGAGTTGGGAAGGAGTGCCCCCTCCTTAACTTTTTGAAATAGTTTCAGTAGGAATGGTATTCATTCTTCATTATATATCTGGTATAATTCAGCTGTGAATCCATCTGGTCTTGGGATTTTTTGGTTGGTAAGCTGAAAAAGCTAGCTTTTTAAAAGTTCATTATGTCACAGATTATCAACTAGCTTGCTTCAAGCTGGCCCCATTAATACTGGTTGTCAATCAATGTCAAAGCCACTTAGTCTCCCTTGGAATATCACAGACTGGCCAGAGAGGGGAATCTGTCATCCAGATGCCCATGATAGGACTCTTAAGTCATTCCTTTATCTTTCCAACACTCCTTCATAGCTAGTTAGAAATCAAATTTTCGTAATTTCAGTTGGACTCCTGCTGTGGCTGGTAGTTTCATATATGTTCTCATGAGATCCTTATCTTGCTTTTCTTACTGTCAGTGTTATTTCAATTACAATGGTACCAATATATGATATATTAGCACCCAAGTCTAAGGTAATCCTACATTGTAATACCACTAAGACTGATTTGTTTGTTTTATAATTCCTGTGCTACATGGACTGTGATCGCCAAGGCAAAGCATGACAGATACCATAAATAATACCTGCTGCTCAGCATACCTATTTATTTGTAATTTTTGTTATGGGAATTTTTTAACATATGCGGAAGTAGATAAAATAGTATAATAAATCCAATATACCCATCAGTCAGCTTGAACTAGGTTAATATATAAATAACATTGTTTCTATTTCTGGTTTGCATTTATTGTTGTGGCTCCCTATTTTTAGTATTTTGCATCTTTAACCTGTACTACTAGCTGATTCATAGTCAAAAATATTTTTCCTCCATTATATTCAATTAGTGAGCAAATTGCTTATTGAAAGCTTATGGTTTGATATATGCATTTTCACTGCTAAAATTAAGAAAGTGATTCTCCTCCTGCAAGTTACTAGGTAAACGTCTTTCTTTCTTTCCATCATTCACTTACTCTATGACTAATTTATTTGATCACTCAGTTTTAATGAGCTTCTTGTATATTGAATATTCAAAGACAAAAATCAATCTTAAAGCAGTTTGCAGTTGATAGGGGAGACAACTATTTATTGGAGTATTTTCTGGGGAAAGAATAATTAATATTTAGCTGCAAAGCCAAGGTTATGATTTTCATCTCTTGGCACTGCATTTGCTGGAACATTGTCATTTGTGACTTTTCCATTTCTAACACATGGTTGATATAGTTCACATTTAAATCTTTTTTTATGACAACACTACAATTTATGACTATAATGCAAGTCTTTTATTTTTCCTAATAAAACTCCAGTCTTACAACAGTAAGCACAATATAATCAACAGGATTAGCATTAAAAAGCATTTTTAATAGACAAATATGTTGATTGAATAAATGAATTAATAGGTAAGTCAGTATGACACAGGATTTTTCTTGGTCATTTTGCCAGCCAGGGACCTCTGGCTGGCAATGCACCTGCCCGGGTCTTGCTTGGGCACACTACCTGCTGCAGGAGGTGCCCCACTCACTTGGTTCACCCAGGCTGAGTCTGGCTTGTGCACTGGCCCAGCCTCCAATTGGGCCAGGTGTGCCCAGCTCACCTGTGTTATAGTTAGTACCTGTGTTTGGCAGTTCCTGAGCTCTTGTCCCACATCCAAGAAGAATGAGGCTGTGCTGAAAAATGGAGAGTGAGGAGGGTAGATAAGAACTTTATTGGGTGATGGAACAGCTCTCAGCAGAAAAGGGACATAGGGGCAGACTTTCACCTCCACAGTAGGGTGGTTTCTCCTCTCATTGTGGCTGAGTCTGGGACTTCTATGGGCTCAGAACTGGAGAGTGCATGCTGATTGGTTTGTGAGTATGCAAAGAAAGGCTAATGCAAAGGCACCACTCAAAGGCAGGCAACAACAGTGTAGAAAATCAGTTAGTAAAGAGTAGATAGATGTAAAATAGGTGAAGGATGGGGATCAGTCAGAGTAAAGAATGCCAAATGGGAAGAGAGTTCTCAGTCTGGTTTGTGGATTTACCCAGGACTTGTATCTAGGCTTTAAAGTATCTTCAGCTTGAAGGTGGGATTTTGCTGGGGACCTGCCCCTATCTGCCTAGACATTTGTTTGCCTCCTGCCACTATCAATTATAGAATAGGACAGTAAAATAATTATAAATGTTTAGATTTTCATTTGAAATACATGTCAGTAGTAGAATTACATGGAGATATGATCTATCCAATGGGGAAATTCTTAGAATCAGAACACTGGGAATTCTTAGAATCAGAGCTGATAGCAATCATTTGTTCAAATCCTATCTTTCTAAAGATGAAAATTTAAAACAAAAAGGCCCAGTGACAAGTCTTCTTGTATTTTACACAGTATAGATATCGTATTCACACAGAATCTTTTTACATGATTTCTTGACAAGTGTTCCTTCTTTATACAACACTAAAAAATCTTGTAATTTGATTTAGTTATAAATGGTGAAACAAAATGACTACAACTGAAAAAAACATATTCCTGCATATAGGCTTTCTGCAGTTATATCCACTTATACCACATGATCTGAATAAATGTTTCCACAGAATGGAATTCTAAAACATTTTTATCTTGCTGTTCTGTGTACTAATAGTTCTGTTTATAGCACTGGCTCAATTATTATTAATCCCTAAATTTTACACCTTTGATGACATAATGTCATCTTGTTCTTATCTGCAGCACTGGAGTCACAGTAATTGACCTAATAAGAGAAATAAAAGTAATTATAATTTCAAGGATCATTTAGGTGTCGTTAAATGACAAAGGGTCAAGATGTAATTTCCTCCCTTGGCAGGATTAACAATAATGGAGCTGCAGTACCTTTGGCACTGGGAGACAGTTAACACAACAAAGATGGCCATTATATCTTCATCTAAATTTTAGCCTTAAAGGCATTGTAGTAGACCTTCCTCTTTAACGGCTTGTTCACACATTCTATTCACAACTAATTTCTTTGTCCCTTGTCTTTGTCCCCTGAGAAGGAGGTTTAGCCACAGAACATTCAGCACCACAGATGCCATATAAGGACATTTCTCCTTGGAAGTCTCTGAGTGGATGTCAGTTTGTGAATAGCACCCCCAAAATTATGTCTGTTTTATGTTCCTTAATTTTTCCACACAGGCCTAAAACTCAGCCAGCACTAATTATGCCAGGCCTAAAAAATGCAGCCTGCAGGGGTCAACACCACTGTGATATAGAACAGAGGAGAAGGAGAGCAAGAAATAGATCTCAGAACAAACAGGTCACAGAGAAGTACATGTGGTGCTACCTGAATGCCTACAAATTGAAATGAAGGGAGTAATTAGGAAAGAAAATCTGCTCAGATCAACGGGGTTTTCAGACTTCTGAGGATCTCATCAGAAGATTCTCTAATAACACATGTCATGAAACCCAGCATTAATTTTTGTATTTTTGTATTTTACAGGTGTTTATTGGAGCTCTTTGCCTAGAACTGATAATTGGATTCATGGTATTCTGGAGAACAAGGTATTTATGTGATTTAATGATAGAGAATAGTCCTCTGGCATAATTTCTGGGTAAACCTGTGATGATTTCAAAAGTTCCTCTAGTTATTTCTGTGAAATCCCTCTCCTGAGTGGCATTTGGAAAATCCTTTTTGGAATAAATGAATATCATGCTGGACATGCACAAAGTTGTAAATGGGAAACATCATCGCTGCTGCTCAGTGTGAACCCTTCCTTTGTGCATGAGGGAGTTGAGGATCAAGGAGATGAAATTGTTTGCCTAAGGTTACCATAAAGCCTTGAGAACCTATATAGGATTGTGAAATAAACACATTCCAAATCCTAGGGTCTGTCCCCTACTTCGTAAGCATGGGAAAATTCTCTAATCATTTTAGTTTCAATTTCTTCATTTATATGAGAATAGTAATGGGACCTACATCACAGAGTTCTCAAAAGAACTAATTGAGATAATGTATATCAAGGATCAGTGATTTGTTTTCTGTAAAGGGCCAGATAAGTAAGTATTTAGGCTTTGTTGGTCGTATAGTCTCTGTTAGAACTACTGCATCTGTGCCATTGTAGAGGAAGACAACCATAGATAATGCATAAACAAATGGCTGTGCCTGTGTTCCACTAAAACTTTATTTACAAGAAGAAGCGGACAGCCTGTGGGCCATAGTTTTCTTCCCCTAATCAATATCATTTGACATAACATATGACCGAGAGCAATGATTTCATAAATTTTATCAGACTTTATTCTCATTGTTATCATTATTTCTATTATCATATTTAGTCAATGAATGGAGAAAATCATTTCTATGTTTAGTTTTTTAAAAATTAAACTTCTGTTGATATCCCTGGGGTTATCTCCTGAGATTTGTTCACCACCACTTACAAGAGAACTTCCTCATGTCCTGGCTGTTCCTCTCTTGGGCACCGTGAGGCATTCTGGGGAAGGCAGATGGTCTCCTTCTGAGGATGAAATGCCCTGTGAAAGATCTGGAGTCTCCATGAATCCCTAATAAAGAGTTTAACACTTCAGCTCCTGCTGAAGATCAGAGGTGCTGAATGTGTAAAATGAAACTGTTGTTTGCTTCTCTCATGCAAGCAATACCATAAGGTTGTGCAGCCAGTACAGAGCATTGCCAACCCAAATCTGTCACTGAGGAGACAGAAAAGCAGTGTAGAAGTGTGTGGGCAGAATTAACGTAGAGATTTTACTCTCCTGAGACTGAAATATAGGGCAGACTAAAAAAGTGTGGGCGATGGCAAAATGTGTTAGAGCAATGTCTGAATTATCCTGTAGGACAAATAAAATTTTCTACAGCGTCTATTTCATGACACAGCATTTCTGATGTACAACTATTACAATAAAACATTAATAGGATATATAAATAAGAGATGAAAGTCTGGCACTAGCAAGAGAATCTAGGTCATACATGGTGATCCTAGAAAAGTAAAAATCACAGCAAGCAGTAAAGCCATTCTTGGTAGGGTATCTGGAATGAATGACCCCTTTTGGTTTCCATGGTTTGACTTGCTCCTCTGAGTTCTTACAACGATTAAAATTACTGATAAAACTCTAAAAATATGCAAGATCCATAATAATGTCCACAAAATAATTACAATATTAACATCAGCATTGAGTCAGTCTGTGACAGTCAGCTGCCATGCTTCAACAAAGGGACTTTAAAGAGGGCAATGAAGAAACAATCTCCATCTGAAATTCAGCACTTCAAAACTGTGAGGTAACTAATGGGCATAGAGTCATAAAATAAAATTGTTTTGAGAATAAAACATTAATTTTTAATGCAAGTCAAAACTTCTTGGAGCAGTGAGGAAAGGCTCTGCTTTCTACACAGTGCCGGAGAAGAATATGTTGTTCATATTTAATGGGTCTTTTATAAAACTTAGGCTCTTTCTGCTCATTAAGAAATATACTGGAGAGGGGTTCAAGATGGCTGAGTAGATGCAGCTAGTATGTGCCTTATCCACAGGGAGGAACCAAAATAGCAAGTAGATACTCAAATTTTAAGTAGATGATCTCAGAGAGAATACTGGGATTCAAGAAAGAAGTGCTGGGAAGCAATCAAAATGAGAAAAAGGAATTGAAGCAGCCTGCTTGTCCAAGATCGGCTGGAAAGTGGGAGAAGCTCCCAGACTCAGGGAAAGGGTATGAGAAAGACCCCCGGGCTCACACTCCTCCCACAGTATTTCACAATCCTAGCTATGGGAGAACTCCTCTACCCAGGTTGGCCTTAAGTCTAACATAGGGAGCTACCTAGAGATTGCACAGAGGCATTGCTGCAGAGAGGGAACACATGTGGAATCCCATAAGCTTCTGAGTATTGAGCAGCTGCTATTGGTACCATTCTGATAGCCAAACCTACAAGGGACCAAGCCTTTGGACAAAGGACTGTATCCTTCCCTGAGGACACCGCTACTGCCGCTGCCACCACTGAGCCTAGAAGGGAGAGGGAAGGCTAAGCACCTTCCCATGCTCTGAGGACAAATCCCACTGCCACTGTTGCAGGCAGCTTTGGGACTGAGGTACAAGGAATCTGCATATCCTTCCTATGCTGCTTTCACTGAGAATGGCCTTACCCTCCCTGGTGGCAGGCCCACAGTTCAGCTGCCACTGCCCATACCTGAGCATTCTGCCAGTGAACTGGGGAGCACTCCAATTCTGCCTATAAAAACCAGCACCTAAACACAATGCTGGGGGCCTGAGAACTAGCATGCTGGCCTGGTCTTATCCTTTCAGTAATTGAACATGCTGTCAACGGGTCTGAAAATTGCCCAACCTAATTCATTACCATTAGCACCAGAAAATTGCTTCTGAGGTTTGAGGTTGGGCTGATATCACCATAGCTGACACCTACTTGCACATGCCACCAGCAGGACAGGGTCCTGGGCTTCCCAACCTGTTGTAGCCACTGCCAACACCAAAATAGATCACTTGGATTCCAGTGGGTTGGGAATTCCACCATTGCCACTGCCATCACCCACATCACATCAGCTGGCCAGAGGCCCAAGAAACTGCCCACATATTCAGCCCACTCTTGCTTATGTGGAAGCTCAAAAACCAGACCTCCTGGGTCCACCAACACTGGTGCCAGCATAAGCCATCCAGGGGCCCAAAGACAGGCATGCTCAAGTCACCATTGCCACCACTGGGGCCTGAAGACTGGCCCATCTGGCACCCTAGTCCCCAGCAAAACTGCACCACAGCCTCCACTAATAACCAAACCCTGAGCCACTGAAGGAATCACAGATACCACTGATGCAGTTTACAGTGGAAAAAATCATACAGAAAACACACAAATGCATGCACCCAAAATCAAAGCCAAAGCATCATATCCAACCAATAACATAAATACACCTTAAGAAAAAAAGTCCTCCCCTATGAAAACAATCTTATAAATTGGAAGAAGTGATCATTACACCAGATGTACAGGTATCAGTGTAATGACAAAGGAAACATAAAAAGCAAGGCAACTTGACACCTGAAAGGAACTCATAATTCTCCAGCAAAAGAAACCAATCAAAAATAAATTGTTACAATCTCAGATAAAGAATTCAAAATACTGATTTTAAAGATGCAAGAGAATTCTGAAAAACAATACAGGTAAAATATGTATAATTCAGGATACGAATGAGAAATTTACCAGAAAGGCAGATATAACAAAGAACCAAATAGAAATTCTAAAACTGAAGAATTTATTAAATCAAATATAAAATACAATGGAAAGCTTTAATAGACTAGATCTAGCAGAAAAAATAATTTCAGAATGAGAAGTCTTTGTGACATTTGGAACAATGTAAAGTTAAATCAAATATAAAATACAATGGAAAGCTTTAATAGACTAGATCAAGCAGAAGAAGTATTTTCAGGATGAGAAAAGTCTTCATGACATTTGCAACAATATAAAATGACTAGATATTGGTATTTCCAAGGGTGAAGAAAGAACATAAAGGTTAGAAAACGTATTGAATGAAATATTAGATGACAACTTCACAAGTCTAGCTAGAGACCTAGGATTCCGGATACAGAATGCCCAAAGATCTCCAAACAGATATAATGCTAAAAGGTCTTCTTGATGACACATTATAGTCAAACTGTCTAAAGTTAAAGCAAAAGAAATACCAAAAGCAAGAAAAGAAAAGTGTCTAGTCACCTATAAAGGAACCCCAAAAGACTAACAGTAGATTTCTCAGCAGCAACTTTACAGGCCAGCAGAGAATGTGAGAATGTATTCAGAGTGCTAAAACAACAACAAAAACCACAACAACAAAACCTCAACCAAGGATACTACGTTCAGCAGAGTTATTCTTCCTGAATGAAAATAAAGGCTTTCCCAGACAACCAAAAATTTAAGGGAATTGATCACTCCTATTCTGGTCCTACAGGAAATGCTCAAGGGAGTCTTAAACTTGGAAGTGAAAGGATGACAACTACCATCATAAAAATACATGAAAGTACAAAACTCACTGGTAAACCAAACACACAAATGGGGAAAAGGAAGGACGCAAATGGTGTCACTAGAGTATAACATCAAACCACAAAGACAAACAATAAGAGAAAATGAAGAAGAAACATGCTAAGCAACCAAAAAAAAATTAACAATATGACAGTACAAAAACTCACATATCAATAATAATCTTGAATGTAAATTGATTAAATATTATTACATCTAAAGTGATAGACTTCAATATAGTAATAGTTGGTGACTTCAACACTCATTTTTAGCGTTAGACAGATCAACTAGATAGAAATCTAACAAAGGTGTATTGGATTTACACTGAACTCTAGATCAAATGGACCTTACGGATTTTAAGGAACATTTTATCCAATAACTGCAGAATATACATTTTTCCCATCGATACATGTAATACTCTCCTGTATAGACTATACGTCAGGCCCCAAAACAAGCCTCAACAAATTTTTGAAAATTGAAATCATTTCAAGTATCTTCTCAGATGACAATGGAATAAAACTAGATATCAACCCCAAGAGAAACTGGAAGCTACACAAATACGTGAAAATTAAAAATCATGCTCCTTAACAACCCTTGGGTCAATAAAGAAATTAAGATGGCAATCAAAATTTTCTTAAATGAAAACAGAAATACAACATACTAAAATTTGTGAAATACTGCAAAAGCAGTACTGAGAGGAAAGTTTATGGCAATAAATGCCTACATCAAGAAAAGCAGTTAAGATTTCAAATAAATAACCAATGATATGACCTTAAGGAACGGGAAAAGCAAGAACAAACCCCATATTAACCAGAAGAAAAGAAATAAAGATCAGAGCAAAAGTAAACAAAATACAGACTGAAAAACAATACATAGGATCAATTAAAAAGTTGGTACTTAAAAAAAGATAAACAAAATTGGTAACCTGCTACCTAGACTAACCAAGTAGAAAAGAGAAAAGAAGACTCAAATACAATCAAAATTTAAGAAGGAGACATTACAACTGGTACAACAGATGTATAAAAGATCATCAGAGAATATTATAAATAGCTATGTACTAACAAACTGGAAAACCTAGAAGAAATGGAGAAATTCCTTAAAGCATAGTACCTACCAAGATTAAATTAGAAATAAATAGAAAGTCTGCAAAAAACAGTAACAAGTAGCAAGATTAAATCAGTAATAAAAAGTTCTCTAATACAGAAAATCCTAGTATAGGATGGATTCAAAGCCAAATTCTACCAAACATAAAAGAACTAGTACCAATCCTCCTCAAACTATTCTAAAAAATTGATGAAGACGGAACCCTCACTAACTCATTCTATGAGGCCAGCATTACCCTGATACAAAAGCCAGACAAGGACACAACAGAAAACTAAACTATAAGCCAATATCTCTGATGAACATAGACACAAAAATCCTCAACAAAACATAACAATCTGAATCCAGCAGCATATCAAAATGGTCATATAACATGACCAAGTGGAATTTATCTCACGGATGCAAGAATAATTAACATATGCAGATCAATAAATATGAAATATCACATAAACAGAATGGAAGACAGAAACCATATAATTATCTCAAAAGACACAGGAAAAGCATTTGATGAAATTCAGCATCTCTTCAGGATAAATGTTCTCAATGAACAGACATAGAGAAAACTTACCTCAAAATAATGAAAGCCATGTGTGACAAACCCACAGCTAACATCACACTGACTCGGGTAAAACTGAAAGCCTTTCCTGTAAGATCTGGAGCAAAACAAGGATGCCTGCTTTCACCATGCCTATTCAATATAGTACTGGAAGTCCTAGTTGGAGCAAGAGAAAGAAAGAAAAGGCAACCAAGCTAGAAAAGAAAAAGTCACATTGTCCCTCTTTGCTGATGTTATAATCTTACATTTAGAAAACCCTAAATACTCTACCAATAAATTCCTAGATTTGATAAATGCACTAAAGTTGCAGAATACAAAATCAACATCCATAAATCAATAGCATTTTTATATACCAATAATAAGCCAGTTTAGAAATAAATCAATATGGTAATCCCATTTAAAATACCCACAAAAAATAAATAAATGCCTTGGAATTAATTTTAACAAAGGAGCTGAAAGATCTCTGCAAAGAAAGCTGCAAAACACTGATGAAAGAAATTGAAGAGGAAGCAAACAAATGGAAGACATCCCATGCTCAGGGATCAGAAGAATTAATATCAATAAGATGACCATGCTGACCAAAGGAATCTACAGATTTAATGGAATCTCTGTGAAAATACCAATGCCATTTTTCACAGAAATAGAAAAAACAATTCTAAAATTCTCATGGAACCAAAAATAAGCTGAATAGTCATAGCAATCTTGAGTTGGGTATTTGTGTAAAGGAAAATAAATCTATGTATCAAAGGGATACCTGCATTTATATGTTTATCATAGCACTTATTCACAATAGCAAAGGTATAGAATCAGCCTAAGTGTCCATCAACAGATGATGAATAGATAAAGAAAATTGTGTGTGTGTGTGTGTGTGTGTGTATATGTATATACATATATATGTATATACATATATACTATGTATACATGTACGTGTGTGTATATATATGTATATACGTATATGTAGTATACGTATATACATATATATACACATATATATGTACACACACACACACAATAAAATACTCTTCAGTCATAAAAAAGAATGACATCCTGTCATTTGCAGCAATGTGGAAAGAAGTTGAGGTCATAACGTTAAGTGACATGAGCCAGTCACAGAAAGACAGATGCCACGTGTTCTCATTCATATGTGGGTGCTAAAAATCTGATCTTATGGAGGTAGAGAATAGAATGATAGATATCAAAGCCTGGGAAGGGTGTGTGAATGGGAAGGGAGGATACAGAGAGGTTGGTTAGTGGGATTTAAACTTCCTTTTAGCTGACTGATCTTATCTACTTTACTACATTTGTATTCTGAAATGGTTTTCTCAATACAATCCGGTACCTGTAGTAGAAAACTTGGCAAATTTTTATAAAGGGACGGATAGTAAATGTTTCAGCAGCTGCAAGCCATACAGTCTCTGTCACAAGTACTCAACTCTGCCATTAGGGAAGAAAGCAGCTGTAAACAATATGTAAATGAATGGATATGCACCATGTTGCAATAAAACTTTATTTACAGAAACAAACTTTGGGTAGATTTTGCCTTCAAGATGTAGTTTGCTTTCACCTGCTGTAGTTGTTACAAATGTTTTATCTTATGAGAACTCAAGTAGTATCTCTTGTCTAGGTGCCAGTTAGTCATATAAGGGACCTTTTGTACTAAATATAGTAAATTCTAAAAGGAGGGCAGAATTTACCAATGCACCAATGAAGTGGATGGTCTCGTGAACCCTCAACATACTGTCCCACTTTGATATGCCATGTTTCCTTATGTATGAGGCTATATTAGAGTAAGGTATTTTCACAGTATAATCTTCCCTAGGAAGGTAACTTATGGTCAAGGAAGTGGGAAAATCAGTTTATACAGGAAGTAAACACTTTAATAGTCTCCAAACACATGACTTTTGGGGTTTTTTTTCTTTTGCAGTGACATCATCAACTCTCATTAGTCCAATTAAAAACATTTTTATAGCTAATCAGTGACTGGTATATATTAAGTTCTCAGTAAATATTTGTTGAATAAATGAATGATGATCACCCTAGTCTTTGGGTCATTTGTGTGTTTCTCCACACTAACAAATTGCTTTCTAGGTCACCTCAGGGTAAATGATGGCAGTCCCATGTATTCTTTGTTAGACATATGCATTTTGATAGACACAGTAGCAAAATCTCCTAGAATAAAAACAGGCTGGGCACATTTAAAACAAACCCTGCAAACTCATTTTGACACTTCTTTTCTGGTATGGTAGTTATCATTCCTTCCATTCTTTAGGTTTAAGTGTCCACAGCATTTTCACTTTACAAAAACCAGTCCTTCTTTTGCAATAATGCCTGTGACATATGTCAGTTCAAACAAATGAATATTTCCATTTCCAGTTGCCCATTCACCCATGTGTCCATTCAGCACAGGCAGTGAGGCTGCCCAGGTGCCAGATGTTGTGCTAGATACTGAAGAGTCAAAGACAAAAAACTCATGCTCTTTATTTAGTTAGGCAGTAGACATTTAAATAGATCATTATATACTGCTATAATAATCTTTTAAAAAGTAGCTTATGATTTTAAAGGACTGAACAAATAACCCTGGTGGAGCCTTTGCTCAGTTGAATTCAAAGAGCAATTTAGGTTCAATAATTAATAACAAAAAGAAAAAAAAACATTTTAAAGGAAATATCATGCAGAAAGGCCCAGAGGCTTAAGCAAATGAGATTTTCTTAAGAATATTTATTAAGTTATACTTAAGGAAATAATAACTAGGGGGCTGCCTGAAGATTACCTGCTTAGTAGTGGCAGAAAAATGAGGGTTTTAATATAGCCAGTGAAGATTTAGTATAGGCTGGGTGCCGTGGCTCACTCCTGTAATCCTAGCACTTTGGGAGGCCGAGGCAGGCGGATCACTTGAGGTCAGGAATTTGAGATCAGTCTGCCCAGCATGGTGAAACACTGTCTCTATTAAAAATAAAAAAATTAGCCAGAAATCACTTGAACCTGGGAGACAGAGGTTGCAGTGAGCCGAGATCATGCCACTGCACTGTAGCCTGGGCAGCAGAGCAAGACCCCATCTCAAAAAAAAAAAAAAAAGATTTAGTATATACCATGCTAAGGAGCTGAAAATCATTCTAATAGGCAAAGGAAAGTCATTACATTATTTCAAGGATAGCAAGTATGTGAGCATATTTATAGTTCAAAAACATTACCTTGGGATAATTGGGAGAGTAGATTTAGAAGGGTAGAGATTGGAGGCAGGAAGACCAGTAAAGACTGTAATAATCCAGAAGAATTATAAGACCTATATTAAGGCAGTATAGAAGGGAGGCTATGGAAACCTATATTAAGGCAGTGCCCATGGAAATAAATGGGGAGAGAAAAAGATGAAGCTTGTTCTGAAGTGGACCCCCAGAAGATTCAATGACTGATCGGATGACATAAGATAGCAGAGAATGATGAACTACTGGTGATTCCCAATGTTGGTCATGAGGTATTTTTCTCAAGAAGTGGATTGGCGACGTTGAGTTTGAAGATGTGCTTATGCATTCAGGTGAGAGCACTGGGCAGTGACTTATTTGGCAGTTAAAGAAGTTACCACATATCGTTTTTGATGTTTTTTATTTGATTTTTCATTTAACTCTTCTCACAACTTTAAAAGATAAAGTTAAATCAATTTTCAATTAAGATAATTGAGATTCAGAGAAATTTAAGTAACTCGCCCAATGTTACAGTGGGAGTTAGTGGCAGACTCAAGATTTTAAACTGTATCTTCCTGATTTCATTGTATCTTATTCATTCTGCCATACTGACTCAGCTTTTGGTGGAAATGAACAGTTTCTGTGTTAATATATTGGCTGACTTATCTGATAAGACAGGTATTTTATATCATTGTGTTTTCTGTACAAAAAGCATTAAGTAACTGCAGGTCTTTTTTCTTATTTTTCATGGCATTGCCTGCTGACTACACATAGCATTTGATATAATATAAATGTGCAGAAGGTAGGAATCGTTTAAAGGAGGAGAAAGTGAAAAAATTAAACAGAAAATGGAGAGAGAAATCAATGTAAGCTTTTCTCACATTTTTATCTTCAAAATTATAGCAATACAAATGAAATAATCCGTTCCTCATGCAGAGGCTGGAGGGTAAGAGGACACTCTGTGTATATACTTTTTCCGGTCCTCTCTGGTTGTACATTCAACCATTAGCTGAATCTTTGCGAATCCAGTGGGAGAAGGTATTTGGAGGTTTCCTAAAGTTTTTTGTTTGTTTATTATTCTTTGCAGTCTTAAGGGGACATATTGTGAAAACAGGCAGGGTAGGGAAACACTGACAGCGCACAGCATGAAATATGCAGCATGCTGCCTACGCTGTGGGCATCAGGGACATTGCCAGTTACAGGGCATTTAGAAACACATTTTTCTCTCTCCTTTTGAATTTAGACTGTGCTATTTCTGAGAACTGATGATTGTCTGGCATGGTTTGGTATACATGTGTTCATGCATCAGAAATGTGTTCCAACAATTACTTACTAGGTGCTTAGAGAAAAAAATAAAGTAAATTCATATTGATAAGAAGTCCTCAAAGGGGCTGGGTTTAGCACACCTAAATTTATGCTGCACTATTCAGATGGCGCCTCCGAAGCACTTCCTCTCTGCTCTATCCTCACGTGAGAATTTTGTACTATATTAAATAAGTCAGATTTGGGAAATTGCACAAATGGCTACTCTGTTTATTGAGTGCTTATGGGAGATGAGAGATGGACCCTGGAGAGAGTCTAACTCCTGTGAGTAGATGTGTGGAATCTGGCACTATAGAGAGTTCAAGGTGCTCTCAGGGTGGGTGTAGAAAGTGGAAAGTCCAGAATTTATGTGTGGTAGGGTCTCATTATGGCAACGTGGTTGGAAGAGGAGCCTATGGGACCTTTCTTAAAGTTGTATCTGCATTGCATATATGATAGTTAAGCTATTTACATTAATATTGGGTGTATATTTCGAATAACTTGATAAGAGGAGTTGTTGGAGACTGACCCCACTCTCACACATATGTGTTGTACACATGCCCACACAGAGCCACCACTGGGTGCCACAGAGTGTGGTCTTAAGGTCAGAGGAGCAAGGTCAGGACCTTGGGTGCATCTCTAAAAGAAATTATTCAGTCCTTTCTTCTGGACTATAAGGAAGGTCATATGTAGTGTTTCTTTTTAAATTCTTTAATTTATACTTTGCTCTTTGAAAGTTTTTCCAATATGGTAGTAAAATCTGGTATTTCATGTCAGATTTTTATGGTAGTGGTGTAGGTAGTGGTACGGGATAGTGTTATAAAGGAAAACTAAAGTAGGGTGATTATATACTTTTTTTTTCCAAGCAGGGTCACTTTCTGTAAAAGTGACCCTGCTTGGAAAAGTGGTGCAATTATACATATGGCAGGGCAATTTGCAAAAACCAAATAGTCTCAGGCAAACCAGTATGTATGGTCTTCCTGAAAATGAAGTCTGCCTGTTGGGGGGTGCATTCCAGAGCAGAAGCCATTGTCTTGCGTTAATATTGCATGGAAAGCTGCTGAGTCTGTGAGTTCTAGGCTGTTATTTGGTAGAGAGCAATGGCAGTAATGTGGGATCCTCTGGTATTCAGTTCCAGCCACTCCTCTACCCTTTATCCCTTATCTTTCCGTAATATCCCCAAAGAAGTCATCCCTATATGGATTATAAAGGAAGACATGTAGTGAAAGTGTTGAAATAAGTAACCAGGGCAGTACATTAAGTCAGAAAGAAATATTTATGTAGAAACCCTCATTTCGCTGTGCACAGAGGCTCAAAGGAGAATGAAGGAAAATCATTTCTTCCATAGATTTCTTTTATTGCTTGCTCCCTAGAGAGAGAGAATGAGCTGTGGTTTTCAAGAAGTTGGTAATTTAGTAGAGAAGTTGGTACACCATGTACAAAGCTCCCCCTCTCCTTTCTTGATAGGTGCCTCGGGTATTGGAGCATCTGGCAGGGATGGGCCCTGACATCTGCTGACCCTGTTTGAGTGTCGTCACCCTCCACTTGCTATTCTGAAGGAAAATATGTGTAACTTTCTCTTTAGAAAAGATACTTCCACTTAATATTCTTGGAGGTGGAAGCTGTCTCAGAAAGATAATATTATTTTGTTTCATTGAGTGTAGATTCCAGAAATGGCTATAAAACTATCATTTATATCATCATGCCACCATGATTTATATGGACAGAGGCCATTATACTGATTCAGTGCTCCAGTCATCTTGATAATAGATCCTAATTATTACACTTTTCTAGTACCTAAAAACAATTGCAAACCAGAATGAAAACTGTTTGAAGGACAAGACTATTATATTTCTATATTTTTATCACAACTCTGAATTTTGAAGAAAAAAATAAATTAGAACTGTTTATTATGCAAATCTCACAGGACCTTGTGGCTGAAAGATGGACTATAGAGGCAAGACTGTTGTTAGCAATTTAAGGTTTATAGTTGTGAGACATGTAGTAGAATCTATTGGGAGAACAAGTACTGGCTGCCAAAATCAGAGATTAAGAAGTGATTAGATTTCTTTCTTCTTCGACAACTGCGGCCCAGATTCAGCCTCCTATTTGCCCTTAAGGGAGCATTCACCCAGTGGACCTTACTTACTGTTTCTCCAATATCATTGCTTCCGGTGAGAGTCTCAAAGACCAGAACATGTGGAATGGACTGTTAATTCCCCTGGCACTTGCTAATAAGGGAGAAGACACCTGTGTTTCTAACTCTGGCTTCTTAGCAAGGAGAGAGGGCAGACTTCCAGTTCTGATCAGAATCTCCTCCCAAAGCAAGAAGAGTGGTTTCTTACTTAGACTGTTACCCACTTTCTTTTCTGTATTTTTCCTCCTGCTTCCTTCTACAATATTGTTTGCTTTCTTTGCATTCTACCTTCAATTCATCTATTTCTTCTCCTTGCTTGATCTACCCATCTTCATGGTAGATGTGTGGTAGGGTCTCATTATGGCAACATGGTTGGAAGAGGAGCCTATGGGACCTTTCTTAAAGTTGTATCTGCATTGCATATATGATAGTTAAGTTATTTACATTAATATTGGGTGTATATTTAGAATAACTTGATAAGAGGAATTGACCCCACTCTCACACATATGTGTTGTACACATGCCTACACAGAGCCACCACTAGGTGCCACACAGTGTGGTCTTAAGGTCAGAGGAGCAAGGTTAGGCAGCATAGGCAGCATGCTGCATATTTCATGCTGCGCGCTGTCAGTGTTTCCCTACCCTGCCTGTTTTCACAATACGTCCCCTTAAGCCTGCAAAGAATGATAAACAAACAAAAAACTTTAGGGAGCCTCCAAATACCTTCTCTCATTGGATTCACAAAGATTCAGCTAATGGTTGAATGTACAACCAGGGAAGATCGGAAAAAGTACACACACAGATGTACACAGGGTACACATGGGTAGACGTACACAGATCTACCCATTCTTGCCTCTGCTGTTGTTTTGTTGTTTCTAAGAAATTCTCATTTTATTATTTTTATTTTCTCTTGTGCCCCAAGTACTTCACAGTCAAATTTCTTTATAAAGTGATGGGAATAGTCAGGATGGGAATATAACTCGTCAAAATAGAACTTCAATTGTTTGGTGCAGCCAGGCATTACATAGTCATAGGACCATTCTTCAAGACCCACTGACTTTCTCTCACTCTGTCATTGTCTGTACCCACATCCACATCTCCAGCAACATCCACACTCACAATCACATCCACATCCTCATCTACATACATAGCTACATCCACATACAGAGTCACATCCACATTCACAGTGACATCCACCCCCTCTTCCACATATACACTCATATCCACAGTCACATCCACATCCTCATCCACATCCACAGCTACATCCACATTCAAACACAGTCACATTCATATCCTTGTCTACATCTACATCCTCAGCAACATCCACAGCCACAGCCACAGCCACATCTTCGTTCACATCCACAGTCTCCACATCCACATCCATATCCTCTTTCACATCCACAGCAACATTCACATCCACAGCCACATCAACATCCCCATCCACATCCACAGTCACATCCATATCCACACCCACGTCTACAGCTACATCCACAGCCACAGCCACATTCACATCCATAGCCACATCCTCATCCACATCCATAGCCACATCCACATCCAAGTCCTCATCCACATCCAACATTTTCATCCACATTTGCAGTCACATCCACATCCTTATCCTTGTCCACAGCTACAGCCACAGCCACAGCCACATGCTCATTCACATTCACAGTCACGCCCACATCCACATCCATAGCTACATCCACACCCGCATTCACAGCCACACTAACACTCACATCCACATCCAAGCCATATCCACATCCACCGACCATTTTTTTTCTATTACATTTATTGTCAGTTTTAGGTCCATATCCCTGCTAGGCTGGTTTAATCAGTTACTGTGTATATGGCTCAGTGTCTTTTAGAGAAGTCTTTTGTCCTTTGGAATCCTTCCACTCACTGGTTATTCTCCAACATAGTGACAACAGCCTTCCCACCATGTTAAAATCACTTGCCTGCAAATCTTTTAAAATTCTGATATATAGTCTTTATAAAAACTAACAACTTAGTTTTTATAAAGCTCTCTGAGTGTCTGCAAAGTGCAGCCAAGGTGAAGAACCTTGTACCTAGAAAGACTTTACAGCTAGCAGCTGCTGGGGCTACTCAATATGTTTCTAAACACAGTGGGGCCTATTAAGACTGCAGAGCCATGCCTCATACCAATAATCAGGGATCAACTCTATCTTCATTCCCTGTGATTTGCCATAATATAAGGAGCACTAAGGCAATACGAAAAAGTTAATGTTATTGTGAAGTTACCACATGCCAATTACATTGTCACGTGTTTATGTAGAGAGTATCATCCCATTTACAGATAAAGAAATGTGTTACTTAGCTTCTCTCAGAAGTAACATGCCTGAAGTCACAGAGGTAATACATGGCAGAGCTTACCGTTCTGCTGATGCTAAAACTTCTGCTCTTATAACAATGCACTGAGTTGACTCCCTGTATTTGATACTTAGAATAAAGTCGGTCTGCTTGACTAGCTTGGGGAATAAGAAGTTATTATAGCTCCACAGTCCATTTGCTTTCTTCACTGCATGTCTTCCACCCCTTTGCGTTTCCCTAGTTCAAGGTTTGGCCACAAATAGTCCTGTTTCTCTTTACCTTCCACACCCAGATGTTGCCACAGTATTTGATCCTTACACCTGACCCTTAATAGTTTACTCAGCTTTCATGAGTCAGTCCTCATTCCTTTGGAAGAGTCATTGGATACTGGACCTACTTGCTGATGTTGTCTCATACTGTCACAGAGTCTTTGTTACTGCCCTTGTGCAAATGTACACATTCATTCAAGCCTTTCACACTGGTTTTCAAAACCATCTCCCCAGAGAGCAAGCAATTGGCAATTTCTTCTGCTTCAAGAATGCATGATTCTCTCCTTCCTCCTTATTCTATGTCATTAGCCCAAATGAAACAATTTTAGAATCTGCATTAGGAACTCTTTAAGATTGAGTTGGTCTGTTTATGAGAGAGAATATTTCAAGGCAGAATTTACCCTGCTTCAGATAAAATGGACTTGTAAGAAAAGCCTTCATCAAATCATTTATTCTAAGCCTCTCTGATCTCATGACATTTTAATGCAAGCTATAACAATATTTTCTTCAAACTCTTTATAGTTAATGTTGTTTAAATTATTATCTATTATATAGTTTATGGAAATATATTCTATATAAAAATGAGAGTAATTTTTAGCAGCATACTGCATTTAATATGTTAGATTTAATAAACAAAGTCACATTTGTATGTGGGATGTTTTCCCAGAACATAATCAAGTATGGCAGGATGGTTATGAGAAGCTCAGTTCCTTGATGTATGTATCAGCTTAAGAGCTTGTCACCTACCATGACTCATTAATTCTAGTACTTTTTGCAAGTGAAACTTTCTGTTGTCTGCAAAACACTGTGAGGCATTTAACACATGACAAGCCTTTAGATCACATTGCTTCTATGACCGTGCATTCTGAATGCAAATATATCTCTGCAGTAGTGGCTTGCATCAGAATATTAAAATAGGCAATGCGTTCTGCACTATCACGTCAGGCTGTATCTAAGATACATGTGCTTGAGGCTCTTAATCTCAACTCTCAATTTCTGCTAAGTTTTTAGTAGATTTACTGGATCCTAAAATGAAATTTGGAAAGATGACTTCATCCCCAAGGTCAGATTGCTTTTTCGCCGATAAATGACAAGTGAACTGGCATTTTCCAAAAACATTCTTTAGATAATGGGTTCTCTCTGCCCTGCTAACTGCTCTGGTTAGATCATTAGACTTTGTGGTTAAGGTCAGATTCAAGGGAAAGAATTTATACGGTGTTTCCTGAAACTGGTCTAAATTGTATGTAATGCTAATAAATAGTAATTACCCAATGCACTTCTAATGTGCATCTATTGGTGGAGTGACTGTGAAATTTTAAATTAAGGGTAATTTTGTGAGGTTAACTTGGGAGCAAATTTATGAGCGCTCAAAGTCTATTTTGCTTTAAATTCCAAAGGCTGCTTATATAATTTGTTATGGGTTTATTATTTATAAACCTTGCTTAATGCCTTGTCATCTCAGAAAGACCAGGCAGTATATCTCTTCCCAAGGCTCACCTCTTACTACCTTGTCCAGTATGACAAATTTATTTCTGATATATTTTCTTTCAGTTTCTTCCTACTAGATCCCCTCTGTACAACCCAGAATTCCTCCTTTCACCTCCTTCTGATGTTTCTGCTAACTCTAAATGATATTTTAGCTGATACTAATTTAGGTTAATTGACCCTGGAAACAAATGGTTTAAAATCAACAAATGTTTAAGAATAATTGTGATTTTTTCTCTTAATATTTATGGAAAATAGATTAATGTTTGACAAAATTATAAGCTATTTGCAGAGTCATATTTTCATGTATGAAAAAATTCATATGAAAATTGAAGCATATAATTGAATATAATAAAATGCCACTTAGTTACCTGTGACACGGAACATACCCAATGTTTTATAGTGATTGTACCCTCTTCTCAAATACCCATCAGAACACCCAAGCATCCCTCGAATGGGTAATCCTGTTGACAAGGCTTTGGCAGAAGCGTTTTTATTAAAGCAGGACAGTGCATGATATTAGACCTCTGAAGTAGACATATGCAATGGTATAGAGTCCTATGATGTCTTTTAATTTCTCACAAGGGATTCTTTCTCCAGCATTGTGTACATTCTCTGGGTGAGGAATTCTCTACTGGTTGAGGTCATTATTTTCCCTACGTGACTGTGTTTGGAATATAAACTGTAGACATTGTTTCACATTACCCGACCTCACTGATGTCCCAGATGTTTACAATTCCCTTGGACATGACGTATTTTAACAGGGTGTATCTTCTGACCAGGGACTGAAAATTTTTGAACAGATCCAAAGGACATATAAATATAATGTCTAGTCTTTTTCAAGAAAGGACAGTTGGCAAATGAATACAACTGAATTGAATATATATATATATATATATATATATATATATATTTGAATATATATATGCATATATATGAATATATATGAATATATGTATATATATGTATACATATATATATTATTGTCCTGTTTTTCTAATTCTATCTCAGACCAGTTAAAATTGACCAGGGATTGGCATTTTTCTAATCATGTACCCTTGGAAAAGTCTGTTATATTACATGCCCAGGAATTTACCTTTAACTCACTACAAGTCAAGAGTCATCACAAATTTTACCTGATTTCTATTCTGTTTAAGTGCATAAATATTTCCAGTCATTCATTTATAAAGATTACTGTGACAGCAGCTTATAGCTTGGAAGAAATGGGCAGAGAAGGAGAAACCTAGAAGCAGAGAAAAGACTTCAGGGTACTCAGTAGATCCATTGAAGACTGAAAAGACCTGAATAAATCAAGGGTAGTGTAGCAGAGAATACATGGTCAAGAGACATTTTTTCAAGTGAAATCCATATGGCTGGGTATCAGACTGGATTTTGTATGTAAAAGAAATAGAAAATTCAAAGATGACTACAGCATTTCCAAGTTGGATCACTAGGAGTTAGGCCATGCCACAGGAAAAAGAGGCACAGGAGAAAGAGCTTCGAAATGGATTTCAGTTTACAATCATAATTTGCATACCTCGAGTGTCAGATAGATCTTTGTGTCTCTAGAGTGGCTGGACCCTATCTCTTCTTTGGGACTCAATTCTGCCCTGGTAGAACTGGAAAAGTTTTCTTCCCTGTCAGGAAATTACACTACTGCCTACTCATAGAGTCAAACTGAAAACATAGAACTGTTTCTTTATTTCTCTTTTCTTGTATATTCACAACGAAATCAATTACAAAGCCCTGCCATTTCTATCTCTAAAAACATTTTGAGTTTGTACTTCTCTCTACTTTTACCCCTATTATCTTGGATGGTACAACCATCTTTTGGATCAATGCAATAGCTTCCTAATAATTGCCTCCCTATTTCTTCGCTGAATCCTTTCTTTTTTCAAGCAAAAGTCAAAGTGCTGTTTTGACATACAGATCAGATTATATCACACCTCTGCTGAAACCCTTTAGCAGATTCCCATTTCAGGCAGAATAATATTCAGACCATTTATCATAGCCTGCACAATTTTTCAAAAAATGATTTTCTCTCTTTCCTTTGCCCTTATCCGGTACCTTTCCACCTCATTCACTCCTTCTCAACCACATTACCTCCTTTCCAGCTCTTTGCTGTGTGTCAGCCACACTTCAAGTTTATTCCTGCCTTGGGATCTTTGTTCCTGCTATTACCTCTGCCTTCTACATCCATATGGCCATGTGGCTGGCTCTTGGTATCCATTAGTTCTTAGTCACATTTGAATTTATCAGAGTGGTCTTTCCTGGCCTCTCAAATTAAGCCATCCTTTTTCATCTTCACATTATCCTTTTTAATGTTTTCCAATTTATCTTTTAAATGTGTTATATATATGTGTGTGTATGTGTGTGTATAATCTTTGTGTGTATATGTGTAGTCACTTAGGATCTCTTTTCTGCAGTCTAGAATATTAAGTTCTATAATAGCAGTCATCTTGCTTCTTTGTTTACTGTTATATCCAAACACATTGAACAGTGTGTGGCATAAAGTCAGCACTCTATAAATATTTGCTCAGTGAATGTGTGATGTAATGCGTGAGTTAGGACAAATCTAACCAAAAGGAAAGGATACTGAGAAGGTATTCACAGGCTATTCTCAACTAACTTCAGATGCCTTTATTGATTTCTAACCATGGTGAGGAGTCCTTCTGAGCCTGGATAGTACAAGAAGCTACAGGAGATAACAACAACCAGCTACCTGTCAGATAGAGGGTAGGGACAGACCCAGACAAACGTTTTTCCTGGACAGTGTATTAAACCCATTTTATTCTCTGCCCAAATATCATCCAGCTTGCACAGTGACATCCATATCAAAGAAACTCAAAGCCTCATTTCCCCATTTAAGCAGAATGAATTGTGCTTACCTGGGTCCCCACCTGGCCATCCTGCTCTATGCCTCCGTGGCTCTTATCTTTTCCTCATAGTCTTCCATAGCTACTCTAGCCAGGGCTCTCAAATCTTTCAGAAACTTGTCATTTGCTCTACCATGGCTCAAACTAGACAATTTTAAAACGTTGCAAATTCAAATTGATGTCATCAAAGGTTTAACAGTTTCACTTTCAGCTGGACCCTTGTGCTGCTTTTAATTTTCTTTTACTCCACCTTAGTCTATGTTCTTATGTCCACATATGGATTTTCAGGAGCAGCTTTAGCATTTCTATATGGAAGAGCAAAAGGGTGGTAATCTGATTGGAAGGAGAGCCTAGAAGACTTACCTTGAATTTACATTTGCATAATAGCATTTTGTTTGCATTTAGTTTGTATATCAGTAAAATAGCAGAAGTATCTGAAGAGACTTTCTGTCATGCTTACGTTAAGATTGAGAGACAATTCACAGTCCATGTTCATATCTATTGTTCATTTCTATCATTATTATTACTTAAATTTGGGGATGGTTCCCTAGATACCATGAAAGGCTAAGCTTTATTCTGCCCAAGCTGTCTCTTGGCTGCCCTACCCTAAATTTTCCAAATCTTTACGATTCTCCTGGGTTCTCATTCTCCAGTAGTGAACTCTTCTCTTTGGAGCAAACAATAAAGATATCAGGCACAGAGACATAAATGCTCAAATCCCATTTCTTCTTCTTCTAAACTTACCTGTTTCTTTACTTGATAGTGCATTTCTTACCACTTGTTTCAAAAGGAGAAATACCACGGCTCTCCAAGACAAATCTGCCCACATGGGGTTTGATCCTGTTCCTTATCTCCTTTGTGATCTTTTCCCGTCAATCATACCAGCTTTCTTATATTTTCAATATTTCTGCTTACATTACTTTCTTCTCCTCAGTCTTAGAAATATGGCCAAATTGTAAATGTTGCACAGAAGATCCCCTTTTGCCATTTCCTTAGCATAATGTACTTTTCAATCCATCATAATCTTTAGAGAAATTATTATTGCAAAGATCATTAATAACTTCCACCCTAACTATGCTTGACCTTTTTGTATAAAATGACTATTGACTCAATCCCATATTCTTAAAATTCTCTCTTATTTGACTTAGATACTATGATTCATTTATTTATTCATTCATTTATTCCTATATTCATCCTTTGTTATGAACCAGGAACTGTTGCCAGGTCCTGGTGACATAGTAATAAACTAGATGACATTTTTAGAACTTAGACTTAAAAAAATAAAAAGTAAGCAATGTGATACCTGCTTTTATTAATGTATTTACGGAGTACTATGAGGAAGGAGAGGCTGACCCTGTGTGTTAGTCAGGGGAGGAGGTTCTAGAAAATATTCCCCAAGTAAGCCCTCTGAGTTGAGTTCTTGAAGAAGAATACCAGTTTTCAAGGATATACAGGGGTGAGAATAAGATAATTGGAATAAGAGAGTTCCTTCAGTTTAGAGAAGCAGCTCACACTGAGGCACAGAGGTGTGAGAGCACACGGGCTTCAGGGGCTGCCAACTGGCCATACTTTCATTATGGAACTAGAAGGAGAGCAAGGGCCTTACCACAGAGCACTACGTATGGCATGCTAGACCACTTAGTCTAGAGCAAGTGGAAGCTACAGGGACACTGAGTGCCAGGATCAGATTTGCACCTTAGGTGTATCACTCTGCCTATGGGATGGAAGGTTGAATGTAGTTAGGGGAAAGAAGGAAGAAAGCAAAGAGCTAGTATGAAGACAAGAAAACTAGCTGAAAAAGGCAACCTGGAAACTATAATGTCCCACAATGGTTTAGTAGTTTTATGATGGGAAGAGATTGGTCTGGAATGATTCCAAAAGAACAGGAATAAGAAAGTTCTGTAACTGGTTGTAAGTAGCCCCAGATTCCCTTTCAAGGTTCTACTCTGAATTTTCCCTTTCTATATAGTTTCTTTGATTACTGTTCCAAGAAGGATCTTGCTCTATTTTATATTTGGCTTATGTTTCCTTTAAGTGTTCTTATATCTCTACCCCAAGGAGAATTCTCATCTTCTAGCTTAAAGCTGATTACCTCTAGGGAGGCTCCTGTGATTCTATATCCCCTTGTATATCTATATTTATATCTATATTCATTTATGTGTATATGTATTTCTATACCTATCACAGCACTCAATACTTTCAGAATAGCCTATGGTGAGTGTATCTCTGTGTGTTCTAGCTGTATTATGAGTTTTTTGCTTTTGTTCATTTGGCAAAGACTGTTTTGCAAAACCTCTAGGATTATGCCTGGAACACAGTAGTGCCTTAATCAATGTTTCTTTGAGTTGAATCTCTGCTATCTTGACTAGTATGATATTGTTTTGATGAGTGTTTTAGAGAAAAATAAAAAGTAAGACCTTGAAAATAATTGAAATAATGAAAAGACAAGGGAGAATTTTATTCAGGTTACAATCGTATAGTTAATATTGTAAATTATTGGGAAACTAGATGGGAGATGCTTCAACCAACCATAATTTGGCTAGCCTTCTAAAAAATTTGTATTCCTCTTACCGCAGGGCTGGTGACATTACTCTGCCTGTAAATGGCAGAGTGAGTCACAGAGGGATTGAGAATTGCACATTGGCTATCATAAAAGCCTTAGAAGGAAATCTGTAATTAGTAGCATTGATGCCTCAGAATCACGTAATGTAAAAACTTAGGATGATTTATGGGCTAACAACTGGACTTTAATAATCTCTGGAGCTTTCTGAAGTACACATTTAATCAGATCTTCTCCTTTCAGTAAGATGATAAACATGAAGTCAGAATAGTTAGACAAATGACTGAGAGGCCCAGGAAATCATTACACTGCCGTTAAAAATCAATCAGCCCTTGCTTATCCTTCAAGAGTGTGTTGAGTACAGACGACAGGCGTTGTACCTCTGTATACCCCTGTATGGCCCTGTATAACCCTCAGTCACTAACATATTGTTATCACTCTCAATGAGGATAGCAATATTTTCTTTAGTTTATTTAAGGAAAAGATAGCAGTTGAATACCAATATATTTTAAATTAAATGTTTAACAACAATAACAAAAATATCCCAACTGTTGTAATTGCTTATCTAAATAATTCATTAGTGGTAATGCCTTGAAAATTTCAAAAAAGATATCAAACTTCAGAAATGGGATGCTGAACCAACATTTAAATTCCATCCCTAGTGCCTAAGCACTTTATGCTTAGCCGTGTTAGCTGTCACTGCATATTAGAGAATACAGTGACCTTATTCCTATACTTGATTGCTCCTTGAACAGAAACATGTTTCCTGAAATAAATAATTGTCATCTTTATAAAAATGTCTGGCACATGTGATAAGGAAATGAACACAGACAGGTATCAGTGATTACATTTTGTTTTAATTGCTTTCTGAGAAACTTGTGACATTTTGTTAAAATACAGCAAAACGAAGGAAAACATTAACTATAAATACATCTGAGTAGGTGGAGTTGCTGGTATTACACAGAAATAGAGCTACCTGAGAACATCTACTTTCTAAAGTTTTTCTTGGTTTTACATACAGAGACAGTGATTGCAATTGTTTCTTCTTTAGAGTAAATGACTTCACAAATGGAGATCAAGTGTCGTATGTTGGCAGAAAAACAAATTTACACACGTGGTTTTCATTGTGAGGCACTTGTCAAGGTATCCAAGTGAGGTATATGAAGACATCCCTGAAATTGTTAGATTATTATAAACTTTATACAGATATATGGGCCAGGGATGGTCAATGGCTCAGAAAGCTGCCAGGAAGGAAGGAGTTGGGTACTGATAACACATACCAGCAGTCCATAATCACAATTCTCCTACCATAGGTTCCTTTCAAGAAACTTTTGCCAGCTAGCTAGCAAATATATTCATCTTGTTTCCTTCATATGCCAAAGACTAGCAATTGATTCATTTCAATTTTCATTAATTTTTAAAATTTGAATAGCTTTAGGAGTATAAGTCATGTTTGGTTACATGGGTGAATTGTAGAGTAGGGAAATCTGAGCTTTTAGTGTACCTGTCACCTGAATAGTGAGCATTGTACCTAGTAGGTAATTTTTCATGCTTTATCCTCCTTTCACCCTCTCTTCTTCTGAGTCTTCAATGTCTATTATACCACTTTGTATGCCATTGTATACCCATAGCTTAGCTCCCACTTATAAATGAGAATATGCAGTATTTGGTTTTTGATCTCTAAGTTACTTCGCTTACGATAATAGTTTTCAATTCCACCCAAGTTGCTGCAAAAGACATTGTTTTGTTCTTTTTTATGGCTGGGTGTTATTCCATGGTATGTGTGATATATTACACATATATCACATTTTGTTTATCCACTCATTGATGGATGAGCACTTACATTGATTCCATATCTTCGCAATTGTGAATTGTGCTGTGATAAACATGTATATGCAGGTGTCTTTTTTTTTTTTAATATAATGACTTCTTCTTTGGGTAGGTACCCAGTAGTGGGATTGCTGGATTGAGTGGCAGATCACAGCAATTGCTTTCTAATGAATTTTTTTGCCTTCAAGACTTACTTGTATTTTTAATTTTAACAGTGTTTTATAGTCAATATTATATTGGGGAATAAAAATGCTTAATATAAATTTTCTTGAGCTTGCTTATCCTAGAGAATCACTTAATACACATGAGTGGGAAAGTGTAGTATAAATAGCTTTTACATATTCTGTTTTCTACCTGAAAACAAAAACAAACAGGAAAAATGTCAGTGTTTTACTAGGGAAGGAGTAGTATCATAGTATTTACTTAATTCTGCATAACTTGAGAACTTGGACTATTAAAAGAAATTCTGTTATTCTAACCCTTTAGATGGGAGAAGATGGAGGTTCTCTCACTAAATCAGAACTATTAAGAACTAAATCAGAACTATTAAAAAAAGAACTTATTAACTGGAGCAACATGCATATTCACACAGAAAATCTTTTTCTATTCTTCTACGTCTTTCACCCAAATTGAAATAGATGAAATAAATCTCTAGAGAAAAGTAGGAATTTTTCTTAAACACTGTTGAAATCAAGTTTGTTTATTTTTAGAGTGTAAGACTACACATCAATTTAAGCTGGACATAAATACCTCTTGAAGAAAGTTGTAAGCTCTTTTCAAATCCAACTAGCTTTTTTACTTAAGCTTCTTCAGATGTAATTTCTAAAAATTAAAAAATTAACTTGAGGTGGATACAACTCAACAAAATATGTGTTCCTCTCTGAAGGTGATTTGTTTTATTGGAATCCATGAATCTATTTACAGCAATAAGGATATCATTGGATCAAGATAGTTTACCTGGGCACCTGTGAAGAAGGTGCTTCTGAGAAATGTAGTTTGGGGCCACTTCAAATTAGTGGGTCCAGCTTAAGTAGTGAGGTAGCTGGATGGTTTATATATGGGGCACCCAGTCTTTGCCACTCCTTTTAGGATTTCTCTGGTCTCCCGAAAACCAATGAATGTGTTCTACAATGTCTTTTTCTTCTCATGACTCATGCATGACACTTAAAATATCAATTCTAGACCTAATAAACCTATAGCAGACATCAGAGTAGATTGAGAAGATTATAGCCTTGGATTTAAAACACACACTTTATTCACAATAAGGGTTAGGAACTCTCAATGCTTTAAATTGTGTTTCCAGATACTGACTGAGAAGCAGATAATTCATATGGGACATTGGAATTTGAACAGACTAGACTTCTCTAGAATAAATTAAACCTGGCAATCTGCAAAAACTTCATGGGGAACTTGCTGGGATTTTCAGTGTTATTGGATAGTAGTATTTTGTTTTTGTTTTTGTTTTTGTTTTGCTTTTTGGTTGTTGTTTTTGTTTTTGTTTTGCTTTTTGAGACAGGTCCTTGCTCTGTCAGCCAGGCTGGAGTGCAGTGGCTGTATCTGAGCTCACAACAGTCTCAAACACCTGGCCTCAATTGATCCTCTCACCTTAGCCTACCAAGTAGCTGAAACTACAGGGTTTCACCACCATAGCCAGCTAATTTTTTTAAATTTTTATAGAGATAGGGTCTCACTATGTTGCCCAGGCTGGTCTTGAACTCTGGGTTCAAGAGATCCCCCCACCTTGGCTTCCCAAAGTGCTGGGATTACAGGTGTGAGCCAGTGCCCCTGACGTTAGTATAATAATTTGAATTTATTGATTGGTGATTTGGTTCAAGTTTCTAGATGGATGAAGATTCAGTATATAATAAAATATCTGCAGTCTTTTCTAAGATTTGAGAGAAAAGGAAAATGATTAAGACTAGTTGAGTTAATACAGCTAATATGTGCATTTTTGGTGGGAATAGGAATATAGTATGTATTTATTAACAGTGAGCACAATTATTCTGGAAGAGAGTCTAATATTTTAAAATGTTTTTGAAATTGTATTAGTCCATTCTTGTGCTGCTATAGAGAAATACCCGAGACTGGGCACAGTGGGTCATGCCTGTAATCCCAGCACTTTGGGAGGCCGAGACCAGTGGATCATGAGGGCAGGAGTTCTAGACCAGCCTGGGCAATATGGTGAAACACCGTTTCTACTAAAAATACAAAAATTAGCTGGGCGTGGTGGCACGTGCATGTAGTCCCAGCTACTCAGATGCTGGGGCAGGAGAATCACTTGAACCCAGAAGGCAAAGGTTGGAGTGAGCCAAGATCGTGCCACTGCACTCCAGCCTGGGCAACAGAGTGACACTCCATCAAAAAAAGAAGAAAAGAAAAGAAAAGAAAAGTAAGAAAGACCTGAGACTGGGTTATTGGGTTATTTATAAAGGAAAGGGGTTTAATTGGTTCACAATTCTGCAGGCTGTACAGGAAGCAGGCTGTACAGGAAGGCTTCTGCTTCTGGGGAGGCCTCGAGAAGCTTCTAATATAGGTGGAAGGCAAAGGTGTGGGTAGGGTGTCTCACATGGCAGGAGCAGGAGCAAGAGAGAGTGAAGGAGCAGGTGCTACACACTTTTAAACAATCATATCTTGTGAGAACTCACTTACAATGATGAGAACAGCACCAAGAGGATGGTGCTTCCCCATTCATGAGAAATCCACCCCCATGATTCACCCACCTCCTTCTAGACCCCACCTTCAACACTGGGGACTACAATTTGGCATGAAATTTGGGGGGAACACAGATCTAAACCATGTCAGAATTCAGCATGTGACATGTTTTCTCTGCCCTCCAGTACTTACTGAGCACCTTCCCTATGTGTGGGGAATCTCCCACTGTGAGTTTTGTCTGTCTGGGGTAAAAACCAGAGGTTTGTTTTTCTGTTATTTTCTTAAATTTAGACATAATAGTAATATAACCTCGGCAGCACCAATTAGACCTTATTGGAGATTTCGATTTAGAGAAGAATGACATAAGAAGATGATGCTGACTCACACCTGTAATCCCAGCACTTTGGGAGGCTGAGGCGGGGCAGACTGTGAGGTCAAGAGATCTAGACCCTCCTGGCCAACATGTTGAAACCTCGTCTCTACTAAAAATACAAAAATTAGCTGGGCATGGTGGCATGTGCCTGTAGTTCCAGCTACTCGGGAGGGTGAGGCAGGACAATCGCTTGAACCCGGGAGGCGGAGGTTGCAGTGAACCCAGATCATACCACTGCATTCCAGCCTGTTGACAGAGCGAGACTACATCTCAGAAAAAAAAAAAAAAAAGGGAGAAGACACAAATCACTAAAATCTGAAATTAAAAAAATCATTATCCCTAACCCTTCTGAAATTAAAAATATTAAAAAGGAACTATGAACAACTGTATGCCCACAAATTGCATAACTTACATTAAATGGATATGTTTCTACAAAGATGCAAATTACCAAAGTGACTAAAAAAGTAAACAAATGTTAAAATAAATGTACAACAAATGCTGTAATCTAATGAAATATTTTCCAACAAAGAAAAATCAAGTCAAGCTCAGACCTCAGGCCGGGTGCCGTGGCTCACGCCTGTAATCTCAGCACTTTGGGAGGCCCAAGAGGGTGGATTGCTTGAGGGCAGGAGTTTGAGACCAGCCTGACCAACACGGTGAAACCTCGTCTCTACTAAAAATTCAAAAATTATCCAGGTATGGTGTCACGCGCCTGCAATCCCAGCTACTCAGGAGGCTGAGGCAGGAGAATTGCTTGAGCCCAGGAGGCAGAGGTTGCAGTGAGCAGAGATTGTGCTACTGCATTCCAGCCTGGCGACAGAGTGAGACTCCATCTCAAAAAAAAAAAAGAAGAAGAAAATGATACACAGAATCTACCCTAGTGAGATCTACCCCAGTGAGGATGGTAGAGGGAGGTGGAGAAACGTGGCACATTCAGAAGCAGCAGAGGTCAGTATCTGTGAGGGTAACCTATTCCCAGCATTGACCATATGAGTTGCAAAGCTTGTGCTCAGTGGCAGTGGAACTGTGGTCTTTACTGGGCAGTCATAATGGTGAGTTTGGGGACTGCCCCTAGCTCTAGTGCCTCCAAGCCTAATTCTCTGGATTCCCAGGATTTCTTGTAAGCTACTTTGCAATTTAGCATTCTTTTTTTGCTTAATGAGGTGCAATGGGTTCTGTTTATTACAACCAGGAACCTTGACTAATGCTGTCTTTGTAATAGCTGTAGCATTGTTCCACGTTACCCTCATCCTTCCCTATGAACACGGTCTCTCACAAATGGAAGGAACTTTCATAGTTACCTGGTTTGGACCCATTTTTATCATATTTTATAAATTGTTTTGTTTCTTTCCGAAGACTAAAAAATTGAGTTTCAGAGAGCCTGAGTGCATTGGTAGCACGGTGAAATCCCACTAGATATGGAGTCAAAAGAATAGGGTCAAAAACCTGGGTGATGTCAGGTAAGTTGCCTAACGCTCTGCCTCAGCTGTTCCAAGTATAGAGTTGTCAGATATGGCAAATAAAAATACAGCGTGTTCCATGCTTGGGGCATAATTATACTAAAAATAAAATTTATCGAATAAAATTCAAATTTAAGTAGACATACTGCATTTTTTTCTGACAAAAGCAGACAAAAATCTCTAAAAAGACCAAGATAATGAATGCAAAGGTATTTTTATAGTGCAAAACACATTGCAGTTATTATCTATTATTATTGTCTGAGGTAAAACATCCAGTTAGTATCAAAGCAATTGTTACTTTTATACTGAGGTTCAAACAGGCTAAATAATTTACATAGGTCACAGATATTTAGCTCAGCAATATTAAAATATTTGGTAAAAGAATTAATGATTATTCTGAACCTCTCGTTCTTTTAAAATAACTTATAAGACAGGCTGGACTAAAAACCCACCCTCCTTTAATTAATGATAACACAGTATTATTTTTGCAAACATTTGTCTGTTTCAATGACACCAGTTTTAGACAGTAAATTCTGGTATGTGTCCTCAGTTGTTTTTTTTTTAATCATTCTGCATACCATAGGCCATATAGTCAGACTTTATGGCAAACAAATCTGTTTTGAATCTTTTCTTGATTATTACCACAGATATTATAAAAAGCCAAAGAAAGACTGGGTTACAGCAGATCAGGTTTTACATATCATCCAAATCTGCTGGGAAATATTTTTCCAAAGACATAACAAAATAACCACCACTTAGCAGTGGCTTGCAAAATCTGAATGCATGAGTTTTTGCATTTGTGAAGATATGCAGAAATAAACAAAGGTAAATGAAAATACGAAGTGTCAGCTCAGCTGAAAAAAAGGAAAATGCAGATACTCCTCTCCAAACACACTACACTATCCCTCCCATCTCGCCTCTGTTTACAACACTTACAGAATTGAGTGCTTGTGAACTGGGGGATGTTATTAAAATCCACCTGCTTTTAGGGGAAAAAAAAGTCTTATTTAAACCTACTTAAATGCATTTTCAATATCATAGACCTTGCTTTGAAACCTGGAAGAGAAGGAGGGGGAAGAAAACAATATGATAGTCCTCCTGTGGTGATGTTGTTGCTTGATTCATGTAAACAAGTTTGACAATGACAAATATACTTTCTTTTGAAATAGTGGCCAGCCAGCGCTGTTTGGAGTTTGAAGAGTACCATGTAGAGACTTTTTTCTTTTAATTGTGAGGAATTGATATTGCCACCCAAGACAAAAGGACTGAAGGTTGTTTACTTTTCAGGCTTATGATGTGTGTGTGTGTGTGTGTGTGTGTGTGTGTGTGCGCGCATGTGCATAATTTGGAAAGATACCAATATCATACTTCTCTGTCAAGCATAGTCTATGAGAAGTGGGAGGAAATGGTAATGATCTGTTGCAATCTCTGAGCAGCCTTGGATTTTTTTTTCATAGCTCATCTTTACAGGAAGGCTTACAGCCTTGACTGAGTACTAGAAAGCATGTAATTGTGGTTGTCATAATGAAGCTCTGAAAGAAAGTACAAGTCTATGAGCCTGCCTGACTTTTGACACGGCAGCCAACTCTTTCTACCACGTATTTGTATACTTGCTCTATTCCTAAAATGGAGTGTGGGATTTTGATGGGCAGGACTATATTTGCCTTCACTGATGACATGTATTTAAGGTGTCATTCTTCAGCTCTTTATTTTGGTTATATCTTCGCTTTAGTAGGCCTCTTCCTTACCGATGAACAACTCAGAGTGAGCTACAGAGGAATTTTCTTTTAAAGATATGCAAAAATTCTTCTAGTTTATAGTGTACTGTTGGCAGCCCATGATTTTATATAGATAGAAAGATAGAGATAGGTATAGACATAGATATATACAGATAGAAATTTTGATGAAATTAACAAAGGGTGTGTAGCAATGGCTGTTGCTTATTACAGTGTCAAACATAGAACAAAGAGAAGTATGCATGGATCTCTGGCAGAAATATGAAGTCCTGTGGCAGACCTATCTCCAAAACAGGAAAGCATAGACAGTCACAGTGGTGTTCCATCAGGTTTTACTTTTATTTGACCATTCTCAAAGTTCAGATGAGCATCTGCAGCTGGTCTGAGCTAACATGAAGTTCTGCTGTTGTTTCCTCCCTTACTGTAGGGTGACAGACAGTAGTTCCCAAGGTGTGATCTGAGGACTGGGGATCTGGAAGCATTTTCAGGGGGTCCACAAGACACTTCTGGGGGGCTTATGAAGCCCTCCCTTTTCCAACTACTACCTTGGGAGTCCAGAATTTTTCCTGTACATCAATCAAAACAACAGATTTAATGCAGAAGCAGATATGAGAATCCAGCTGTCTTCTATTAACACGTATTTTAAAGAGATTACGGCCGGGCATGGTGGCTCAGGCCTGTAATCCTAGTACTTTGGGTGTCCGAGGTGGGTAGATCACTTGAGGTCAGGAGTTTGAGACCAGCCTGGCCAATATGGTGAAACCCCATCCTACTAAAAGTACAAAAATTAACCGGGCATGGTGGCATGTGCCTATAATCCCAGCTACTCAGGAGACTGAGGCAGGAGAATCAGTTGACCCTGGGAGGCTGAGGTGCAGTGAGCTGAGATGCCACCACTGCACTCCTGCCTGGGCGACAGAGTGAGACTTTACCTCAAAAAACAAACCAACAAAAAATTAAAAAATAAAGAGATTTACAAAAATATAAAAGATGCTATGCAACTTTTCTTTGTTTTTATTTTGAACAACATAGTTACTTTTCATAAACTATGTTATTTGTGTTAATGTGAAATTTATTAGTAATTTAAAATATATTAGTAATTTATATTTTGCAGTTTCTTAGTTTTGATTTCTACTATGGTAAATATCTACAGATGTAACTCATATAAAGAAAAGCTTTTTGGGGTCCTCAATAAATTTTAAGAGATCCTGAAGAAAAAAACATTGAGAGTTGCTATTCTAGGATAACACTCTATAGCAGAAAGTGAAGACCATATGTGAAAAGCCTAACCATAGTGTTTGGCCTGAACAGTCTATATAGTCTATCTTTCTATCTTTCTCTCTGTGAAATATACCTTTAATGTATACATACATACGTATATATAAATATCTAGATAGAGCCATGTGCTGCTTAATGTCAGGGATACATACTGAGAAATGAGTTATTCGACGATGTCATCATCATCCGTTGAGTGCATTTATGCAAACCTAGATGGTACAGCCTACTACATACCTAGGCTGTGTAGTATGACCTATTGCTTATAGGCTGTAAACCTGTACACAGTGTTACTGTACTGAATACTGTAGGCAATTATAACACAATGATAAGTATTTGTGTATCTAAACATATCTAAACATACAAATGATACAGTGAAAATGAACTATAAATGATTAAAAAAATAGTATACCTGTATAGGGCAAGTACCATGAATGGAGCTTGCTGTACTGGAAGTCACTCTGGATGAGTCAGTGAGTGAATGGTGAGTGAAAGTGAAGGCCTAGGACATTATTGTACACTACTGTAAACTTTATGAACACAGTACTCTTAGGTAAACCTAAATTTAGTTACAATCTTTTTCTTCAATAATAAATTCATCTTAGCTTACTACAACTTTTGTGCATTCTAAATTTTAAATTTTTTAAACATTTTGACTCTTTTAGGATAACACTTAGCTTAAAACACAAACACATTGTACAGCTGTACAAAAATACTTCTTTATATCCTTATTCGATAAGTTTTTTTATATTTAAAAAATTTTTATTTTTATTTTTTTTAGTTTTTAAACTTTTTTGTTAAAGACCAAGACACCAACACACACATTAGCCTAAGCTTTCATAGGGTCAGAATCAACAAGATGTCACTAGATGATAGGAATATTTCAGCTCCATTATAACCTTAAGGGCCCAGTGTTGTATATCCCCAGTCAGTCATTGACTGAAGCATAGTTATGTGGTCCTTGAGTATTTATACACACACACACACACACACACACACACACAGTATATGTATGTGTAATATGATTGAATGTATTTTACATGGGCATAAACTCTTCAGGTGCCAAATTTCCATCACTTCCTCTGTTCTTTCAATTGGAGTTACTATGTATTGATTTCTAACTCTGTGGCCCCATAGAGATATGAATTGGTAGTCTTTTAGAAAGGCCCACCTGCCTTGGTGTCCTATGTAAAATGGGGATAATGAGGCCTTCTGCTAGTGATCTCACGAGATATTGTGGAGGCTAAAATCCAAAGATTGATGTCAGAAACATGAATGGATGGAGGAAGCACAATGTCACACTGTCAGTAGAAATAAATAGTAATAACCATTACTATTATTACTAGTATGATTACCTCATTTTTTTCCAATGCAATTTGGACATGCAATTCAGGAGGGCAGAGCTATACAGAGAGTCTCTTTCAGAGTAGGTATTTTCTCATAGTAGATTTTTTTTCCTTGTCAATAGAGAGAAATAGAATCTTGTGGACTAAAATGACAGCTGTATATAAACTAAAATGAGGACCCCTAATTGGAAAAAACCATAAGATTGGGAGTTATAAGATATTGATACAGTCTTCTCTTTACTAACTAGCTGTAAAAATAGATAAATCAATCAACTTTCTTTGTCTAGTTCTTTTACCTGTAAAATGAGGTTATTGGGCTAGGATGATTTCTAAAGTTTCTTCCAGCTTTATGATTCTACAAGCCTAGAAGAATACCTTGATTTCTCAATAGAAACTTTTGTTCATGCTTTTTTAAATTAGTTCACATTGGAAATTTAGGCTATGTCTGAAAATTGCTAGAAAAGTAGCAGGTTGTTATTTCAGATGTGCAAATTTATTAAGAAAGCATCGTTATATGATGGATGCCTTCAATAAACCAACCAGTGAGTACCAGCAGCACTTCATTTATCCCATATTGGTAGGGAATGAAGTGTTTCATATGCATGCATTTTCCAAATAATTGACAAATATTCCTTTAAGAACAAAAAATCTGTTTTCATTACTTTTTATAGAATTACTTTTCAAAAACATATTCTACATTCCTGTATCCTTTAAAGAAAATGTTATAAGGAAATGTAAACTCCCCTTCATGATTCAGATCTGGTAAAAGCTCTTTACTGCCAAAGGCTTTTTGTACATCATGGAGGACCTTTCGTAAACACTTTGATCTTGATTTATGGTCAATGAATTTGACTTGTAATTTCAGTAAACAATAGTTTAATTATTAAACATGTTAAGTATGTAGTGAATAGATTAGTTTTTCTTAAATTTTAAGGTCTGATTATTAAATTAATAAAATCCTGCTAAACTAAAATCACAAGTCTGTAAGATTCTCTTATACTCTTAAAATCCCTAAAAATCAACTTACAAAACTATCAGTTAAAATTAACTGTGAATACTGAAATATATTTCATAAAGTAAATAGATTAGTCTTATGAAACTAATAAAATGCATTTTAAGTATTTCAAACACCTGAAAACATTTAAATCTGATAATAATTTCAAAAGCATTGGCAAAAATATAGAACAAAAATATTATTGCCATCAGACTGATCGTGTGTGTCAGTGTGTGTGTGTAGGCTGTTACAATAATCTTATCGGTTCCCAAAGAGAAAGAATTCTCATTGTCTCAGATATGCTGATGTTAGATCAAGGATGATTCCAAGATGATTCATTGCATAGCTGACCTCCCTACTTACCACAAAATAATTTAAAATGTAAGTTTTGAGGTGATGACCTTATGTTGGGGTTTCCTAGTCTTAGCCAATCACATAATTTTCTCTTTCTTGAAATAATGTACTTTTAGATTTTACTTCATCAGGATTACACGACTCAGGGTCCTATAATTTATATATAACTCTGACCTAATGTTTAAGTTTATTTTTAAGGCTTTAGGTTGAATTCTGTGATTTATAGGCCTAGGTAGTAACCAAAAAGTGAACAGGATATACTGGTAATTTTAATTGCATATCATCCAGCTTTTCCTGTAAAATGTATTTTGGAAAATTTTACTTGCCCTTCCTTCATTTGCCACTTTGACTGATAGCTTTTGTTCAGATAACTACTCTAATTAAGTGTATGTACAAATGGTCAAGTTGGCCAGTGGGTGTCCATTTATTTTAGTTCACTTTTCACTTTGGCAACTTTACAAACATATATCAGATTATGTTTTCTTTGGTTTATGACAAATAATAAAATACTCCTCGATCATCTCGATTTTCTTTCTTAGCAGGACATTGAAACAAGTACTCTCCAAGGATCACTGATTTCTTTTGATAGAAAATAGAATGAAAGACAAAAATTGTGTGGGAGTGTGTTTATGAATATTGGTATTAGGAAGAGGTACTGTGCTGCTGAGCACATTTAATAATAGAATTGGAAAAAATTATTTCACTTTGAGTGCTAATTTTACATTAATATTGACAATTTATTATAAACATATTAAGTTCCTGATATAACGTGCAGTGTACACCAAGATCATGTTTACATTATAAAAATTTAAAACTTTAATTTTCTAGAATTAAGTTGATTTGGAACCTACATTTGAGCTGCAATACCCCTCTCTAATTTCATAATTTGTATTTCTTGTCACCTTAATTGGAGTCATATCTTTGTTAAACAGTTGCTTTGTTCTTCTGTGATGCTATAATATCCTCATGTTCTTTTCGTATAAGAGCTCTTTTTATTCTGAAACGAAGTGGTTCAAGTCTGCTTTGCCTTTTGGGTCGATGTGTCTCTCTTTTCTCTTATTTTTTCTGTGCTCACCTTCTCTGTAGATTCAGTCTCACTTCTCTGAGTCAATTTTAACCAGGCAGCATCTAGGGAGGATCGGCCATTCATCAAGCAGCCATGGACCTGGGTACAGTGAGGTCATGGTAAGCTGTGGGAATCTGACCTGCTCTCTGCTAGTGGATGAAGCTACATCATTCAACTTCTTGCTGAGTTCCTTCACTGTGAATTCTACTTCTTCATTGAAACTAAAAGGATGATTCGACCATCAACACTGTGGAATGCAGGTTCACTGGATTTTGTCAGATATAAGAGAATGTTTTGCAGAACAGACAAGGTTAGGCATAGGATTAAAGGTCTACTAAATCAGGGTCATTCACTTTGTGACACCTGCCTTCTTGAATTCTGACTTTGTCTTAAGGTTTTGTGACACTCTTTTCCTCCATGCTACCATGCTGGCCTGAGGTGGTGAGGCTCTTTATTGCATTCTGGCCCTTAGTTCACTTTGGCCTGTTGAAGACAGGCTGAAACTTTCAAAATAATATTTCAAATGCTAAAGGACCCTTAATTGGAGGTTAAATACAGAATTTACACAGACTGTAACCATCTAGTTTGTAAATTAGAGAGCATTGATCTCCCCTAATTAATCTGGCCCCCAGGGCCACGGACTTTGTGGTTTTTGGAGAAATGGGTCCTTTGCTTCCCACTGTCTAGAGCACTTTTCCATATATCCAGGCCCTTCTGAAATTTGTCATCCATATATCATTCTGAGAAGGATGGCCAGGCAGTTCTACATAGCCCCCGTTTCTTGTTCATTTTGTGAGTGTCCACTCAAGATGACATGAGGGGACATTGACTTCAGATTCAGTGTTAACACATCATGGATTATTATGCAGAGAGAACCCCAAATCAGCCAATAATTCCTGAGGTCAGACAATTTCCTAATCTGTACATCTGTTCCTTATAGAATTTCATAATACAAATCAGTGGTTCCCAAACTTGAAGGTGCCTCATTCATCTGGAGGGAATGTTTTACCTCTAGAGGCCTGCAATCAGTAGGTCTCAGATGGGGCGTGAGAATTTTGTATGAAATTCTCAGGTAATGATGCTGCTTCTGGTTAAGAGCCACCAGTGAACTATGAAGGACAATTTCTATCTATGCTCAGCTCTAAGTGGAGCTATTATTGGGAGTTTCCAGCTGTCTTGCATATTTTGATTGAAAAAATAAATGTACCCAATATTCCTAAACAGAATAACTAAAAAGGGAAAATGAATGTAAGGCTATTTGGAAATATTTTAGCCCTAATTTACAATGTGGGGATAATTCAGATTCTGCTCTGATAGTCAGTCACCATTTTTGTGTTTGTTCAAGGCAAACTGAATTCCTAGACAATTGAATTGTTCTCATTCCTTTTACCTATTATTCACAGGGCTGCTGCCAGAGAATATAAATATCAACTCTAATGGTCCACATTATAGTGACTCACATTTAATCAATTTTATTTGGATACTAGCAATTGATTTTGAAACTTCAAGGAAAGGACATCCAAGAAAATTAAGATCTGTATTGTCTTTTTAACTAAGTTGCTATTCCAAAGTAACCCATGCTATATTTGAAAAAGTCAGTAAATAGGATTATCTGAGAATCTGAAAATCATTGCAAGGTTGTTTTGATGAGAATGTTAAATGTTACTCAATTTCATTAAATTCACAGGCATTCTTCAAGACTGTATTTTCCAGGCGAGACTTCACAGCATTGTAATCTCTGGGTCTGGAGGACTGCACACTTGTTTTTCTGATGTCTGAGACCGAGTGAGCTCAAAGATCTCTTCTATTTCTTTGTGGGCATGAAGGGTATACTGCCCACTTAGCAATTCCTATCCTCCCTTGACATTCCACAGCTCCTTTTTATTCACGGAGTGATGCAGGTGTCATTACTTCTCAGTTTCTGTCTTTTGTGAATACTGGAGATCCTCCCGAGGCATGCCATCTTATCACCACAAGTCGATATTCATTTGCTTTCTTCAAGGTCCATAGCACCAGCCTATAGTGCTCATCAGAGACAGTCTCATTGTCAAAGTGGTTAAGGAGGAAGTATAATTCCTGGCCTAAAAATCATTTGGCCTCCAGCCCCTGTGTGTCTACATCCTAAAGAAAATAAATAACAATTTTCCAAATGGCTATTTGCCACTTAAAACGAAATCAGCTCTTGACAATAAACCAATTTAACACGAGCCATCTGAAATCAAAAATTGCAAATTAATATTAAAAATGTGATTAATATGATTAATATTTGTCTGAACATGTGAATAATATTTTTGGTGGCTTGACAAATAATTATAAAGGATTTGGCAGGCAGGATAAATTATCTGTGGATTAAAGCTTATTTTACAATATAACTTTAAAAATCTAACATGGATTAGATAGTTTAGTAAATATTTTTTTCTGAACACTGTCCTTCTTTAAAATAATTTTACTAGACAAATGAAGATCCCAAGTTTTAAATCATGTGTAGTATAGATCCAGAATCCCTTATGTGAAACTTTTGGGGCTAAATGTGTTTTAAAAGCAGAATTTTTAGATTTTAGAAAATTATTATGGACATAAACTGCGTATTATGTAACAGCTCCTGTGTGGCGTGGAGCAGGATCCCACAATCTAATTTTAACATGTTTATGACAAGATGAATGAATAGTTACATGAAGTATAATTTTAGAAAGGCCTATAAATATCAGTTCAGGTTAGGTATTGTTGCCAAAAATGTTATAAAGCACTTTTGTTTTTAGAGCTTTTTGGATCTCACAAGTACAGATAAGGAATTGTGAAGTTGTACCACTCATGAAAAGTTATCATCAATTCACTGATGTTGAATGTGCTCATGGTAGATATTTGGCAAATTGGGAGAGTCGCTTCCTAATTGGTATCAAAATGAAAATGAATATTTTCCTTAGGGGAGAAACATGGCTTTCTGTGTCACCCCATTAAAGTGTCACCTCTTTCTTCTTTCTGTGTCATCCCTGAAGTGAATAGATTAGATGTAGTTTCTGTTTATTTAATCTTGAAAAATTTGCAAGGATAACAAAAGGAAGTAACGTGGTACCTTGCAGACCAGAGATATTCAATAAGTAGCCATTTCATTTCAGCTTCTTACTAGCAATTTTTTTTCCTTTTTCAACCTTTATTTTAGGTTCATTAGGTACACGTGCAGGTTTGCTCTATGGGTAAGTCACATGTCGCTAGGGTTTGATGTACAAATGAGCTTATTACCCAGGCAGTGAACATAGTACCCGAGAGGTAGCTTTTCAACTCTCATTCTTTTCTCACCCTCCACCCTCAAGTAAGCCCTAGTGTCTATTCACATGTTTGTGTCCATGTGCACTCAATGTTTATCTCCCACTTGTAAGTTAGAGAACATGTGGTTGGCATTTCTGTTCTTGCAGTAATTGGTTAAGATAATGGCCTCCAGCTGCATCCATGTTGCTGGAAAGGACATGATTTTATTCTTTGTTACGGCTGTGTAGGATTCCATCGAGTATATGTACCACATTTTGTTTATTCAGGCCATCATCACTGGGCATCTAGGTTGATCATATACCTTTTCTGTTGTGACTAGTGTTGCAATGAACATATGAGTGCCTGTTGATACAAAAAGGTAGGGTTTTGGAGGCCTTTGTCCATATTTATACTTATGATCCTGATGCTCAAAATGTGCAGATCAGCTACACAGTGTGGCTTTAGAGATGGTCGTCACCAGGCAGCATATCTTCACTTACTTGTGCCTTTTTTTTTTTTTTTTTTTTTTTTTTGCACAGAGGGAGATATTTTCCTAAAAATTCAAATACTGTTTCAAGCATTACCCCTTTACCCTGTTTTTTATCTGTTGTATATGAGGCTGTCTATCTATAGACATGGTTAAACCTCTTTGAGTCCACTTCTATCTGTATTTTTATGGCTATATATGGTGCCTATTACTCATCGGTTTCAGAGTTCTGCAATACAAGTCCCATGACAATATGTTCATTCACCTTATTTCTGCAGAGTTCCAATGCGGAGGAACTTTGTTGGTTTTTTTTCAAGGTTTTTTTTTTTTATGTACACAATGTGAATAGATATTTGTCTACACAGCCTGTAAATATAACGAATCCAATTCTTAGGAATTTAGTAATGGGCAGCTGTCCCAGGAGACAGATATTAATTTCTAGCTGATGAATTCCTTGACTTCATTTCACTGTTTTCTCTCAATTTGTTTTATTTCCATTTTTAATCACTCCTTTGTCTGAAATAAACAAAATCCTCTGCTTTATGGAGCATAAGTACTTATAGCTCAAAGAGGATTACTTTAAGATTAATTACCACAATTTTGTAGGACAGCATAGGAAATACTTACAAATGTATAGGTGTGATTATGAATAAAGTATTAAATAGATAATATTTTATGCAAATTTCATTTTTACTTTTTTTCTCTATAAAGATCTGGGACTTAATGATGACTGCAGCCAGAGGCTCCATAACACTTAACCTCCAGATATAGTTCTTAGAAATAGGTCTGTTAAGAGCTGCAGATGTTTTGCATCCATGTAAACTGCATCAATCGATCTGTATCATGTTGCTAGACTGAATTTATTTGAAAATGGGAAAGGCACAGATGTTTCTGCTTTGGGTGTTTCCCTATTAAGAATAGCATGGGCTTTGTTACTTTATGCTATTTACTACCCAAGAACACCTGTACATTTTTTATTTATTTTTGAGTTCCTTGTTCTTCAATCTGCTTATTTTTCTTTATTTCTCTGACTTTTATTGTGTGCCTAGTATATGTAATATCTTTTGCAAAGGCAATGTATGTAGATGACTGCAGAGATACATTTCTTATTAAATAATTCCTTTGGTTAAATATCAAGTAAACTTCCCATAGTCCCATTTTTATAAGAAATAGCTATATTTTAAAAAAATTGACATGTAATAATTATACATACTTAAGGATTACATAGTGATGGTTTGATACATTCAGATGAGATCGGGGTAATTAGCAGATTCATCATCTCAAACATTTATTATCTCTTTGTTTTGGGAACATTCAATATCCTCCTTTCCAGCTATTTGAAAATATATGATATGTTTTGGTTAACTGTAGCTATCCTACAGTGATGTAGAACAATATAACTTATTCCTCCTATCTAGCTATAATTTTGTGTCCTTCAACAAATCTCTCTCTATTCCCCTTTCCCCTCCTCCATGTGTCCTTCCCAGGTTCTAGTAAACTTTGTTCTAATTTTTACTTCCAGGAGATCAACTGTTTTTTCAGCTTCCATACAAGTGAGAGAATGTAATGTGTAACTTTCTGTTTCTGGCTTGAGTTACTTATTATAATGTCCTCCACTTTTATCCATGTTGCTGCAAATGACAGGATTTCTTTCTTTTTCTGTGGCTGAATTGTATTCCATTGTGTATATATGCCATATTTTCTTTACCCATTCATCTGTTGTTGGACACTTGGTTTGATTCCTTATTTTGGCTATTGTGAATAGTGCTGCATTAAACATGGGAGTGCAGCTATCTCTTCAATATATTGAGTTCCTTTCCTTTGGGTAAATAAATGCACAGTAGTGGGATTGCTGAATCGTATAGTATTTCTATTTGCAGTTTTTTTGAGGACACTTCACACTGTTCTCCATAGTGGCTGCGTTGGTTTACATTCTCACTAGCAGTGTACAGGTTTACCTTTTCTCCACATCCTCATCAGCGTTTGTTACTTTTTATGTTTTTTATTATAGCCACCCTAACTAGGGTAAGATGATATTTCATTGTGTTTTCGATTTGCATTTTCCTGATGATAAGTGATGTCGAGCATTTTTTCTTATATTTCTTGGCTATTTGTATGTCTCTTTTTTTGATAAATATCTGTTTAGATGATTTAACTGTTTTTTAATTGGACTGTTTGTTTCTTTTCTGTTGAGATGTTTGAGTTCCTTGTATACTCTGGAAACAGTAGTATCCCCTGTGGAGTTTGTATCCCCTGTGGAAACAGTAGTTTGCAAATATTTTCTCCTATTTCTGCAGGTTGCCTTCTCACAGTGTTAACTGTTTCCTCAGATGTGTAGAAACTTTTTGGTTTGATATACTCCTATTGTTTATTTTTGCTTTTGTTGCCTGTGCTTTTGGGATCTTTGCTCATAAAATCTTTTCCTAAATTAATGTCCTGAAGCATTTTCCCTGTGTTTTCTTCTAGTAGTTTTAAAGTTTTGAGTCCTATATTTAGTTTTTTAATTCATTTTGAGTTGTTTTTTATATAGAGTGTGAGGTGGGGGGTCTAGTTTCATTTTTCTGCATATGGGTATCCAGTTTTCCTAACACTGTTATTGAAGAGAACTTCCCCCACCTTTGTAAAAATCAGTTGACTATAGACATAGATTAGTTTTTGTGTTCTATATTCTGTTTCTTTGGTCTCTGTGTTTGTGTTTATGTCACTACCGTGCTGTTTTAGTTGCTATAGTTTTGTAGTATATTTTGAAGTCTGGTAGTGTGATGCCTCCAGCTTTTTGCTCAGAATTGCTTTGGCTATTTTGTATCTTTTGTAGTTCTATACCAATTTTGTAATTTTTTAAAAGAAATAGCTATTCTTTGTGAGTAAGGAGGTATTTTTAGAAATGTGATTATGGGAAAAAAGAGACGTTGCAGCTTATCCCATGGCACCACAGTAGTAGTGAATTTTCAGGAGCTGTTTCCCACAGCAAGGTATAGAATGTTATTGGAAGCTTTCCAGAAGCTTTCCTCATAGGTCAGGTTTTATGATCAAAACTACACATCTGCATCACTTACAAGAAATGAACTTGAAGCCAGGTCCAGTGGCTCACACCTGTAACCCCAGCACTTTGGGAGGCCGAGGTGGGCAGATCACTTGAGGTAAACATATGGATAAATTAAAAACCACCTTTTCTTGTTTTTATAATCTCTTTGAAACATAATTGATTATTTAAAATAAAAATTACAATGTACTATGGGTTTTATAATATATGTAAAAGTTAAATTATGAGAACAGTGGTACAAAGACCAGAGTAGGGAAAATGGAAGTATACTGTTTTAAGCTTAAAAGGTATATATGAAAGTATATATTACTACTTAAAGTAGACTTGATAGGCTCACGCCTGTAATCCCAGCACTTTGGGAGGCCAGGGCGGGCAGATCACGAGGTCAGGAGATCGAGACCATCCTCGCTAACCTGGTGAAACCCCATACAAAAAATTAGCTGGGCGTGGTGGTGGGCGCCTGTAGTCCCAGCTACTTGGGAGGCTGAGGCAAGAAAATGGCATGAACCCGGGAGGCGGAGCTTGCAGTGAGCCAAGATCACGCCACAGCACTCCAGCCTGGGTGACAGAGCAAGAATCCGTCTCAAAACAAACAAACAAACAAACAAAAAAACCCTGTAAACCAAAATGCAACCACTAAAAAGTAAATAAAAGTATAGTTAATAATTCAGTAAAGAAGATGAAATAGAATCACAAAAAATACTCAATCCACAGAAATGCAGAAAAACAGGAAAAAGAAAACAAAAAATAATGACTAAAAGAATAGAACATAAATAAGATGGTAAATTTAAACTCATATGAATCAATAAGTGCCTTAGAAGTAATTGTTTAAATACCTAATTCTATGTAGAGAGAGTCAAGATTAGATTAAAAAGTGAGACCTACCTATGTGTTTTCAACATGAAGCTGAAGCTTACTTTAAATATATATATACATATAGAATGAAATATACATACTTTATATATATATGAAAAGATATACTATGCTAACATGAATCAAAAAAGTTGCAATAGTGATACTAATATGAGACAAAGTATATTTCTTTCAGGGCAAGAATTATTACCAGAGGTAAGTGAAGGGTTTTAAAAAATACTAAAAATGTCCAGCAATCAAAAATACAAAATAATCTTGAATATTTGTTTACCTAAAGACAGAGCTTCAAAATAAATGGGGCCAACTTCTGCTTTATGGTTTGGCATGTTAAAAACTTGGAAGTTGTTTTACCATTCTAGCAAGTAAAAAGCTGAACAAACTGAAAAATCAATTATTCTTAGATCTATTTGAGAAATTAGTTTACTGTGCAAACTGCTGCCCCCCAAATTGGAGAGACAGAAAGGCAACTATAGAGAATCATAACTTACCAGAGTACACACCTCATGTAAGAACCAGTGTCTTCTTTTTACTCACTACATTATGTCTGGCTGTCATGAAAAAATGTCAAGGCATACTGAAGCAAAAAACAAAACAAAACACTACACTTTGAAGAGGCAGAGCAAGCAGAAGAAGAAGACTCAGATACGGTAGAGATGTGGGAATTATCAGACTAGGAATCAATGTGGTAAGGGGTCTAATGGATAAGATAGAAGCATGCAAGAAAAGATGAATAATGTAAGCAGAGAGATGAAAATTATAAGTAAACCTCTAAAAGAAATGCTAGATATTAAAAACGCTGTTACAGAAATAAAGAATGCTTTTAATAGGCTCATCAGTGGACTGGACATGGTTGAACAAACAATCACTGAGCTTGAGGATTTTTCAATAAAACCTCAAAACTGAAAAGCAAAGAGAAATAAAGACTGGGGAAAAGTAATACAATGCATGAAGCAGAATACACATTTTTATTTCAAGTACATTCAGAACTTTGACTAAGATAGACTGTATTCTGAACTAAATAAAAGTCTTAATATTAAGAAGATTCAAATTATGAAACATATTATCTGAGACTGGAGTAAAACTAAATTATAAATCTGTATAAAAAAGAATAAAGTTAGACCCTTACTGTATACCATGCACAAAAATTAACTCAAAAGGAATCAGGAAGTGGGGCCCAGATGACCCACTAGAAGCAGCAGCAATCAGAGGCTCCCATCGAGAAGATCCAAAACAGCTTGGGAACCCCGCACTGGCAACCAAGGTATCCAGTTTCTGTCATCAGGACTGACTAGGCAGCTGGTGTGACCCAGGGAGAGGAAGGAAGAACAGTGTGGTGCAGTGGCACACCTGACAGCCACATAAGGCAGAGGTGCCCCCACCCCCAACCAAGGGAGGTGGTGAGTGAGCATGCCACCCAGCCTGGGAAACGGCACTTTTTCCACGGAACTGTGCAACCTACGGATCCGAAGATCCCACACAGGAGCCCACACCACCCCGGGTCTTGGGCCCTAACCATGGAGCCGCATAAATTCTCAACATCCACTTGACTAGATTTGGCCTGGGCCTGCAGAGTTCCCGGAGGGGAGGGGGCACCATCACCACTTCTGGCTGCCAGTGCTGGTGGTCTAAGCTGTCTCAGTTCCTTGTGGTAGGAGCAGCAGCCAACAGTGTGGCTGCAGAACCTCCCTGCAGGAACTCCAACTCTAGCCAAGGACTCAGGGACAGAACTCTGATCTCCCTGGGCCTGTGGTCCTAGTGGGAGGAGTGGCTGTAGTCTCTGAAGAGCAGCAGACATAGTCTGTCCTCCTGTTAGCTCTGAGGAACCCGGGCAGCCCAGACAAGTGGGTTTCCACCCAGCACAGCACATCCCCTGCAAAAAGGGACAGCCAAAGTGTCTCACTAAATGGATCCTGCTTCCCGTGTCACCCAACTAGGTGAGACCCCCCCCCCAACAGGCGTTGTCAGACATCCTATACAGGAGCGTTCCTGCTGACATCAGGTCGGTGCCCCAGACAAAGAAGCAGGCACCTATCTTTGCTGATCTCCAGCCTCCTTGAGTGACATCTCCAGGTGCAGGAGCCAACCAGATGAATAGGGCCTGAAGTCAACCCCCAGCAAAGTGCAGCAGCCCTACAGAAGAGGGACCTGACTGTTGAAAGAAAAACAAACAAACAGAAATCAACGACAACAGTTTCAACAAAACGTCCCCACTAAAACCTCATCCAAGAGGTTAGCAGCCTCGAAGATCAAAATTAGACAAACTCATGAAGATAAGAAACAATCAATGAAGAAACGCTGACAACCCAAAAGGCCGGAGTGTCCCTTCTCCTCCAGATGACCGCAACACAAACACATCTCCAGCAAGGACACAGAACTGGATGGAGGATTAGATGGACAAACTGACACAAGTAGGCTTCAGAAGGTGGGTGATAACAAACTTTGCTGAGGTAAAGGAGCATGTTTTAACCCAATGCAAAGAAGCTAAGAACCTTGATAAAAGGTTACAGGACCTGCTAACTAGAATAACCAGTTTAGAGAAGAACATAAATGACATGATGCAGATGAAAAATACAGCATGAGAACTTCATGAAACCTACACAAGTATCAATAGCTGAATCAATCAAGTGGAAGAAAGACTATCAGAGATAGAAGACTATCTTGCTGAAATAAGGCAGGCAGACAAGATCAGAGAAAAAAGAATGAAAAGGAGCAAGCATAACCTCCAAGAAATATGGGACTATGTAAAAAAAAAAAAAACAAAAAACAAATAAAAAAATAAAACAATGAACCTATGACTGATTGGATTACCTGAAAGAGATGAGGAGAGCAGAACCAAGTTAGAAAACACACTTCAGGATATTATCTGGGAGAACTTCCCCAACCTAGCAAGACAGGCCAACATTCAAATTCAGGAACTAGAGAGAACCCCACTAAGATAATCCATGAGAAGATCAACCCGAAGACACATACTCAGCAGATTCTCCAAGGCAGAAATGAAGGAAAAATTGTTAAGGACAGCCACAGAGAATGGCCAGGTAACCTACAAAGGGAAGCCCATCAGACTAACAGCACATCTATCAGCAGAAACCCTACAAGCCAGAAGAGAGTGGGAGCCAATATTCAACATTCTTAAAGAAAAGAATTTTTAACCCAGAATTTCATATCCGGCCAAAATAAGCTTCCTAAGCTAAGGAGAAATAAAATCCTTTCCAGAAAAGCAAATGCTGAGGGAATTCATCACCACCAAGCCTGCCTTGAAAAAGCTCCTGAAGGAAGCACTGAATATGGAAAGACAAAACTGGGACCAGCCACTGCAAAACACACGAAAATGTGAACACCAATGACACTATGAAGAAACGGCATCAACTACTATGCAAAGTAACCAGCTAGCATCATTATGACAGGATCAAATTCACACATAACAATATTAACCTTAAATGTAAATGGGCTAAATTCCCCAGTTAAAAGACACAGACTGGCAAATTGAATAAAGAGTCAAGACACATCAGTGTGCTGTATTCAAGTGACCTATCTTCCGTGCAAAGACACACATAGGTTCAAAATAAAGGGATGGAGGAAAATTTGCCAAGCAAATGGAAAGCAGAAGAAAGCAGGGGTTGCAATCCTAGTCTCTGATAAAACAGACCTTAAACTAACAAAGATCAAAAAAGACAAAGAAGGATATTACATAATGGCAGGTAAAGGGATCAGTGCAACAAGAAGAGCAAACTACCCTAAATATATATGCACCTAATACAAGAGCACCCAGATTCACAAAACAAGTTCTTGGAGATCTACAAAGAGATTTAGTCTCCCATGCAATAAGAATGTGAGACTTTAACACCCCACAGTCAGTATTAGACAGATGAATGAGAGAAAATTAACAAGCATATTCAGTACTTGAATTCAGCTGTGGATCAAGTGGACATAATAGATATCTACAAAACTCTCCACCATAAAACAACAGAATATACATTTTTCTCACTGCCACAAAACACTTACTCTAAAATCAACCACATAATTGGAAGTAAAACATTCTCAGCAAATGCAAAAGAATTGAAATCATAACAGACAGTCTCTCAGACCACAGTGCAATCAAATTAGAACTCAGGATTAAAAAAACTTACTCAAGACAACACAACTATGTGGAAACTGAACAATCTGCTCCTGAATTACTCTTGGGTAAATAATGAAATTAAGGTAGAAATCAAGAAGTTCTTTGAAACCAATAAGAACAAAGAGATAACATGCCAGAGTCTCTAGGATGCAGCTAACACAGTGTTAAGAGGGAAATTTATAGCACTAAATGCCAACATCAGAAAGCTAGAAAGAGCTCAAATTGATATGCTAACATCACAATTGAAAGAACTAGAGAAGCAAGAGGAAACAAATTCAAAAGGTAGCAGAAGACAAAAAATAACTAAGAGACATCAAAAACCCTTCAAACATCAATGAATCCAGGAGCTGTTTTGTGAAAAAATTAATAAAATCGATAGACCACTACTCGACTAATAAAGAAAAAAGAAAGAAGAATCAAATAGACATAATTAAAAAATGATAAAGGGGTTATCACCACAGACCTCTTCGAAATACAAACTGCCATTGGAGAATACTGTAAACACCTCTACACAAATACACTAGAAAATCTAGAAGAAATGGATAAATTCCTTGACACATACACCCTCCCAAGACTAAACCAGGAAGAAGTTGAATCCCTGAATAGAATAATAACAAGTTCTGAAATTGAGGCAGGAATTAATAGCCTCCCAAGAAAAAAAACCCAGGACCTGATAGACTTACAGCCGAATTCTACTAGAGGTACAAAGAGGAGCTAGTACCATTCCTTCTGAAATTATTCTGAACAATAGAAAAGGAGAGACTCCTTCCTAACTCATTTTATGAGCCCAGCATCATCCTGATACCAAAACCTGGCAGAGACGCAACAAAAAAAGGAAACTTCAGGCCAGTATCCCTAATGAACATCGATGCACAAATCCTCAATAAAATACTGGCAAATCAAATCCAGCAGCACGTTGAAAAGCTCACCCAACATGATGGAGTTGGTTTCATCCCTGGGATGCAAGGCTGGTTCAACATATGCAAATCAATAAACGTAATCCATCACATAAACAGAACCAGTGACAAAAACCACATGATGATCTCAATAGATGCAGAAAAGGCCTTCACTAAAATTCAACATCCCTTCATGCTAAAAACTCTCAGTAAACTGGGTACTGATGAAACATATCCTAAAAGGTATTTATGACAAACCAACAGCCAATATTGTACTGAATGGGCAAAAGCTGGAAGCATTCCCTTTGAAAACCAGCACAAGACAAGGATGCATTCTCTCACCACTCCTGTTCAACACAGTATTAAATGTTCTGGCTAGGACAATCAGGCATGAGAAAGAAATAAAGTGTATGCAAATAGGAAGAGAGGAAGTCAAAGTGTCTCTGATTGCAGATGACATGATCCTTTATTTAGAAAATCCCATCATCTCGGCCCCCAAACTCCTTAAGCTGATAAGCAACTTCAGCAAAGTCTCAGGATACAAACCCATGTGCAAAAATCACAAGCATTCCTATACACAAACAATAGACAAGTAGAGAGCCAAATCGTGAATGAACTCCCATTCACAATTGCTACAAAGAGAATAAAATGCCTAGGAATACAGCTAACATGGGATGTGAAGGACCTCTTCAAGGAGAAATACAAACCACTGCTCAAGGAAATAAGAATACACAAATAAATGAAAAAAAATTTCATGGATAGGAAGAATCAGTGTTATTAAAATGGTCATACTGCAGAAATTAATTTATAGATTCAATGCTGTTCCATCAAACTACCATTGACATTCTTCACAGAATTAGAAAAAAACTAAATGAAAATTCATATGGAACCAAAAAAAGAGCCCACATAGCCAAGAAAATCCTAAGCAAAAAGAGCAAAGGTGGAGGCATCAGACTACCTGACTTCTATTCTACAAGCCTACAATAACCAAAACAGCATGGTACTGGTACCAAAACAGACATATAGACCAATGGAACAAAACAGAGACCTCAGAAATAAGACCACACATCTACAAGGATCAGATCTTCAACAAACCTGACAAAAACAAGGACTGGGGAAATATCCCCTATTTAATAAATGGTGCTGGGAAAACTGGCTAGCCATAGGCAGAAAACTGAAACTGGACCCCTTCCTTACACCTCATACAAAATTAACTCAAGATGGATGAAAAACTTAAATATAAAACCCAAAACTATAAAACCCTAGAAGAAAACCTAGGCAATACCACTCAGGACATAGGCATGTGCAAAGACTTCATGACAAAAAAATCCAAAAACAATTGCAACAAAAGCCAAATTTGATAAATGGGATCTAATTAAACTAAAGGGCTTCTGCACAGCAAAAGAAACTCTTGTCAGAGTGAACAGGCAACCTACAGAATGGGAGAACATTTTTGCAATCTACCCATCTGACAAAGGTCTAATATCCAGAACTTACAAGGAACTAAAACAAATCTGCAAGAAAAAACAACCCCATCAAAAAGTGGGAAAAGTACATGAACAGACACTTCTCAAAAGAAGACATTTATGTGGCCAATAAACACATGAAAAAAAGCTCAACATCACTGATCATCAGAGAAATGCAAATCAAAACCACAATGAGATACCATCTCACACCAATAAGAATGGAGATTAAAACATCAGGAAACAAGAGATGCTGGCGAGGCTGTGGAGATATAGGAATGCTTTTACATTGTTGATGGGAATGTAAATTAGTTCAACCATTCTGGAAGACAGTGTGGCGATTCCTCAAAGTCCTAGAACCAGAAATACCATTTGACCCAGCAATTGCATTACTGGGTATATACCAAAAGGAATATAAAACATTCACTTATAAAGATACATGTGCATGTATGTTTATTGCAGCACTATTTACATAGCAAAGAAAGACATGGAACCAACCGAAATGCCCATCAATGATAGACTGGATAAAGAAAATGTGGTATATATACACCGTGGAATACTATGCAGCCACAAAAAGGAATGAGATTATGTTGTTTGCAGGGACATGGGTGAAGCTGGAAGCCATTAACCTCAGCAAACTTAACACAGGAACAGAAAACCAAATACCATATGTTCTCACTCATAAGAGAGAGTTAAACAGTGAGAACAGATGGACACAGGAAGGGGAACAACACACACCAGGGCCTGTCACATTGTGAGGTGAGGGGAGGGACAGCATCAAGACAAATAGCTAATACATGTGGGGCTTAAAACCTAGGTGATGGGTTGATAGGTGCAGCAAACCACCATGGCACATGTATACCTATGTAACAAACTTGCAGGTTCTGCACCTGTATCCCAGAACTTACAGTAAAAAAATAAAAAATAAATTTAAAAAAGAATCAAAGACCTAAGTATAGGAATAAAATTATAAAACTCTCAAGAGAAATCATAGGGGTGAAATATTTTTGCCTTGGATTCATCAAAAGATTTTAAAATATGACACCAAACACATAAGTAATAAAAGGAAAACAGATGAATTAGACTTTATCAAAAATAAAATCTTTTATGCTTCAAAGGCCACCATCAAGAAAGTGAAAAGTCTTGTCAAGAATGTGGAGAAATTCTTGACAAGACTTTTAAAAAGCATAATACATTGCTAGTGGGAATGCAAAATTTTACACACAATTTGGAAAGCTCTTTATCTGTTGCTTGAATTATTGAACGTAGAGTTGCCATGTGACCCAACAATTTTGCTCCTAAGTATGCACTGAAGATCGTTGAAAACATTTGTCTACATAAAAACTTGTACTCAAATATTCATTGCAGCATTATTCATAAAAGTCAAGTGGTGGAAACTACTCAAATGTTCAATAACAGATAAATGGATAAACAAAAGTTGGTAAATTATTAAAGTAGAATATTATTCAGCCACAAAAAAATAATGAAGTACTGATAAACACTACAACATGAATAAACCTTGAACACATGATAATTGAAGAATGAAGAGTGATAAAGACCATGTTCTGTATAATTCCATTAGGGAAGTTCAGAATAAGGAAATCTATAGAGATAGAAAGATGATTAGTGGTTGCTTGGGGCTAGGAGGGACACAGAAAAAGGACAATAATAACTAAAAGACGTGAGGTTTCTTCCTGAAGTGATAAAAGGTTATAAAATTGAGTGTGGTGGCAGTTTCATATATCTGTAAATATACTAAAATATCAAATTATACATATTAAATGGGAGAATGGTGTTCATTCTGTGAAATATATACTTTAATAAAGCTGTTTAATAAAACAAAACTTCTCACAAGAAAAACCCCAGGTATGTATGACTTCACTGATAAATTCTACCAAACATCTAAGGAAAAAATAATACCAATTCTAGACAAATACTTTTTGAAAAATTGATGATGAAGGAAACACCAAGCAACTCATTTCTGGAGGCCATGACATCTTTACTTGAAAACAAAACAAAACAATAACCTAAAAGTCTATACAAGAAAAAAATTCTATACCAATGTTTTCCATGAACATACATGCAAAAATATTTAACAACATTTTAGCAAATTTAATTCAACAATATGTAAATGCCACTGCACATACAACCAAATGGGGTTTGTCATGTGAATGCAAAGTTAGATTGACATTCAGAAATTAATCAATGCTAATGATTATTTTAATAGATGCATAAAAAGCATTTAATTTGGGTACTGGATACCCTAAATGCCCTGACTTGACCACTGTGCAATCTGTGCATGTAACAAAGTTGCATGTGTACCTCATACATTTGCACAAATAAATAAAAATCTGTAAAATCAATTTGATATAACAAAATTATAATCATTCATAATTATAAAAAGGTATTAGCAAATTAGAAGTGGATGGGAACTCTGTCACTCTGAAACACTTAATCTTCACAAAACCTATAGGTAATATTTTACTGTAGGTGGTATTCAGTCTGATAAGGTGAGAAGAGTAAACCTCATACATTTTGGAAAGGAAGAAATAAAATGGTCTATATTTGTAAATGACATCATCATGTACGTAGAAAATAATAAGGAATCTACAAAATATCTAGAACCAATAAGCACATTTGGAAAAGTTGTAGGTTAAAAGACCAGTATATCAGCATTTTTATTACTTACCTATTACTGTTTAATAAATTATTTCAAAATATAACGGTTTAAACAATAAGCATTTTTTATCTAACCATACAGTGAATTAGGAATCTGGGTAGGGCTTCCTCACAGTCTCTTCACAAGGATGCAATCATTCTGTTGACCTAGATTGTGGTCTCATCTGAAGGGGGTATTTGTTTTCAAACATTTACACGTGGTTGTTGAAATAATTCAAATCCTTTTGAGATGTTGTAATGAAGGCTTTTGTCTCTTGCTGGATGTTATTTGGAGGTTTCCTTTGTTTTTCTTACCAAGGGAATTTCTCCAAAGTGTAGCTCATAATGTGGCAACTGGTTTTCTGAGAGAGGATGAATAAAAGGGAAATCAAAGTCCTTTTGAAATATAATCGTGGAAGTGACGTCTCACTAATTTTTCCACATTCTGTTTATTAAAATGTTTGACTATAACCAGGTGATACAATAGGTCATAAAAACTTGAAAGTCAAGATCACTTGGAGCCATTTTAGAGGCTGCCAATCACAAACAAAAATAAATGTATTTTCTTCACTCAAACAGTAAACAACTGGAAATTGAAATTTTAAAAATACCATCAACAATAATATTAAAATTATAAAATACATAGGAAAAGTGTAATAAGTGATCTTTAAGATCTCTGCACTGAAAATTACTAAATATTGTGGAAAGAAATTAATTGAGACCATGAATTAATCTATATTCATGGATTGAGAGACTTAATGTTGTTAAAAAGTGAATTTTTCATAAAGTGATATATAGATTAAAGACAATCTCAGGCAGAACTTCCACTGATTTTTTTTAGTAATTGGCAAGTTAACTTTAGTAACATGGAAATGCCAAAGACTTAGAATAAACAAAACAGTTTTTTTAAAAAGTCGCCGAATTTATATTACCTAATTTCAAAACTTACTATAAAGCCACAAAAATCAAGGCAGTGTGGTATAAGTTTAAAGATAAAGTATAGATTAATGGTCTAGGAAAAGATCCTTACATTTATGGTCAATTTATTTTCAGTAACACTGCCTAGACAAGTCAATGAAGAAGGCACAATCTCTTCAACAAGTGTTGCTGAAATTATTAGATAGTCATATATAAAAAATTAATCTAAACTTTTACCTTATATTATATAAAAATAATAATTCAAAATGACTCAAACCAAAATGTTAGTGCCTTAACTATAAAACTTTTAGAAAAAAATGTAGAAGAAAAAATTTTGATATTATATGAGGCCAGGATTTCTTAAATAGAACACAAAGATTATGAATATTAAAGGTGAAAAATCATAAATTGGACATTATCAAAATTAAAAGCTTTTGCTCTTCAAAGAACATTTGCTGATAAAATAATAAAAGCCACAGATTTGGAGAAAATATTTGCAAAACATATCAAGGAAATGACTTCACTTAGAGTATATACAACATTTAAAAAATAATAGAATAAGTCAATTAAAACAAAAAAAATTGGACAATTCACTAAAGGAAATGTATAAAAGACAAGGGCATGAAAAACTGTTCAACAATTTTAACCATTAGGGAAATAAAAAGCAGAATCACAATAAGATACCATTACAAACCTACTAGAATGGTTAAAACTTAAAAAGAGTGAACTTACCGAGTATTGGCAAGGGTATGTTGGAACTGGATCGCTTACACACCATTGGTGAAAATGTAAATGAATGCAGTTATTTTGTAATACATTTTGTCAGTTTCTTCAAAAGAAAATCATACACTTGTAATAAAACAGCTAATCCACTGGTAGATATTTATAAAAACATATATCTATATAAAAACATGTACAGAAACATTCATAACATCTTCAATAGCCATGAAATGAAAACAACTGAAATGTCAATAAACAAGATAACAGATAAACAAATTTTGGCATATCCATACAACTAAGTAATAGTTATCAAAAAAAGAACAAATTTTTGATCCATTTATCAACATAGGTGAATTTCAAAATAATTATATTGAGTGAAAGAAGGTAGGCAAAATACAGTGTATAGTGCTTTAAACACCACTGGATTATTGTATGTCAATTTCACCTCAACAAAGCTGTTTACAAAATGAGAGTACATATTGTATGATTCCATTTAATTAAAATTCTAAAATGTGTAGACTGGATTGAGAAAATATGGCACATATACACCATGGAATACTATGCGGCCATAAAAAATGATGAGTTCATGTCCTTTGTAGGGACATGGATGAAATTGGAAATCATCATTCTCAGTAAACTATCGCAAGAACAAAAAACCAAACACTGCATATTCTCACTCATAGGTGGGAACTGAACAATGAGATCACATGGACACAGGAAGGGGAATATCACATTCTGGGGACTGTTGTGGGGTGGGGGGAGGGGGGAGGGATAGCATTGGGAGATATACCTAATGCTAGATGACGAGTTAGTGGGTGCAGCGCACCAGCACAGCACATGTATACATATGTAACTAACCTGCACAATGTGCACATGTACCCTAAAACTTAAAGTATAATAATAAAAAAAAAATTCTAAAATGTGTAAACAGATCTGTAGACACAGAAAGCAATTCAGTGATTTCCTCCAGATGGGAAGGAGTGGAATAAACGGATGAATAAGTGACAAAGGAATACTTGGAAACTTTTGGGGTTTTGAATCAGTTAATTATCTTGATTTGGGTAATGGTTTCACAGTTATATAAATATGTCAAAAACTCAATAAACTGTAATCTTTCATATGTCTCTCATTTATTATATGTCAATTATACTTCATTAAATGTATAAAAACAAACTATTCAAAATATTAAGTTAAGTACTAGTAATTTTCTTCAGAGAGGTCCCCTGTATAACTCTTTTCACCATCCTACCCCCCGAGGCACCATAAGTATATAATAGAAATAATGTTTAATAGAAATAAAAATATGAGGTGTTGCTCTAGTTTAGACATCTCATGCCTTCATGAATATTTACTTACTGATTAAATTAATTTTATTTCAAAATAATTGAGGTAGCTGATGTTAATTAAGAAACCTTAAAATATCATATTACCTAGGAATATTAAAAATTAATAACACAACTAGGAAAATCCCAGAGACAAATTAAAGTATATATGATCGTAATTGAATAATTGTTTACATTTCATAATTTTGAGGGAACTGCCAATTTACATTTATGTAAGGATGCAATGTTATCCAACAAGGAAAACACAGATCACCCAAATATAATTCTATTCTATCTTCACTCTACCCATCAATCTTTTTACTCTGATTTTCACTCTCCTTCCTTCCCTCCCTTCCTCCATCTCTGCCTCTCTCCCTCCCTCTCTCTTTCTCCCTCCCATTCTTCTTTCCTTCTTTTTTTCTCTCTTCTGATCTTCTGTATTTTTCAATCTCTTATCTACTTTAATATAATATATAAATTACTTATTATATGGATTGTTTTCTATTCCTTCCAATGTGTGTTAGCTGTACGAGGACAAGCATTGTATATATTCTTTGCTTGCTTAGCTACCTTTGTGGGGACTAATACTTTCTTGACTTCCTCTAGCTGACTGCAACTGCAAATTCTACTCTGTAAGCAATATAAACTGTTTAAGGGAAAAAAAAGTGAGGGATGGGGTGGGGTGGAGGTGTTATTGGAGAAGAAGTAGGTTCTTCCAGAACTGACACCTGTGACCAGATATGAATAACAGGCAGTAGCACAGTGAACTTGAGAGGGTAAGCTGTCAGAATTACAGTCAAGGCCACAGCTCAGCACTGCTACGATCTTATACTTCTTCATTCTGACTGTGATAAATCTGATCAGTTGAATCTTCCAACTTTGTGTCACTCAACCAAGATCCAGAATTCTGGGAGTGTGTGTCTGATCACCTATGCTTGTATTTCATGCCCACCTCTGTTTTAATGCAGCCATAAGTAGGAGGCATCAAGGGGTGAGAAGACACTAGGACATAAGTTTCCCTTTCAACGAGACTACAAATAGTGAAGTACGGTAAATATAGGGTGACTGTATAATTTATTATTCAAACAAGTACACTTTTGAGTGTGAAAGGGACACTATTTATTGCAGGAACAACAGGATTAAACCTGAATGATCTCTGGGTAACAGGAATGTATGGTCAATCAACCAGAAAGGGGTATTAGAGTGCCAACCTGAAAAAAGGTGTGATTGGATGTCAGAGGGGCAAAAAAAAAAAGCTCCTTGTATAATTACACGTTTTCTGAATCAGAAAGAGCACCTTGAGGGCCAAGCCACGTGGTTCATGCCTGTAATCCCAGCACTTTGTGAGGCCGAGGCAGGCAGATCACTTGAGGTCAGGAGTTCAAGACCAGCCTGGCCAACATGGTGAAAACCTGTCTCTACTAAAATACAAAAATTAGCTGGACATGGTAGCACACGGCTATAGTCCTAGCTACTCAAGAGGCTGAGGCTGCGCCACTGCACTCCAGCCTGGGTGACAGAGCAAGACTCCATCTCCAAATAAAGAAAGAAAGAAAAGACAAAACACCTTGATGGGTTGATGGTCTGTCTCCAGGGTTCTTCCCATGGGAAGAATTGAGAGTCTTACACTATTTTCATCTGTCATAACAGATGCCTCTTCTTATCCCCAAGATTCATCACAATTCACTCCCTGAGAATAGACAGAAGGAGAAGCCCTACAAGATCACACTGGAGTTTTCCCCAAGTTGAGTAAGTCTCTGATGGTTTCCTCCTTGAAGGCAGGAACTGGGCTGTGCAATTTTTTGAGACTCTTACCAGCTCTCAATCCATGCCTCCATATAGTGAATCCCTCATGTTTTAGCTCATTAGCATCTCCAAACTCTTTATAGCATTGCATTTGGATCCCTCCAGTGAAAGTATTTCTTTATATGACCAAAGATAAAGGACTTTGGCTTCACTTTTTGGAATAGTTCATTGATCATTAGGTACCAATTTTTAGTGCTTCATTAAAAGTGAAAGTAATTTATTGTAATGGGATTATGTGGTTCCCAACACTGAGAGAACATTGAACCCAGAATGTGACACTAATCATAAAAATAAAATGCTCACTCTCATCTTCTTGACCAGTGGGAAATTGTCTAATATTTAAGAGCCGGAATGGATAATCTGTCCTCAGGTGGTCATTAGTCTCTTCATTGTAACTTAAAAAAAAAAAAGAAGTCTTGTTAGAATCTCTCAGCTCTAATAGAGTTCATATGACAGCAATTTAAACTAATGGATAGCTTGACTTCTAAGCTTTATAATTAATTAATCTACTCATTTAAAATATGTGAATTATTGGTATGTAATTCGAGTCTCTGGTTTTAGAAGGTAAAACCAATATTTACCCCCTGTATGCCACCTGCCATAGGGCTACCAGAGACATTGGCTGGTAAATACTCATTTGCACTGACAGCAAACCCATTTTTCACTGAGCTCCAAATCTGCAGTCTCCCGGCTTTCAGCTTCGTGGTGAATGTTAGAATGTGAGGGTATATTTAATTTGAGTTAAATAATGCAGCCATATGAAAATGGAAATGTATTCTTAATATTTTTATGTTTGTCTCTATCTCTCCACTTCTGTGTGTGTGTGTCTCTCTCTCTCTAATGGGAGTGGGGTAGGTGGAATAATCTTTTTTGGTAAACCTTGTTTTAAGTTTTTATGTCATAAATTTTTACAATTTGTTGAGTACTATCTTTCAAGCCTCTATTAAATGTTTTACATGTATTATCTCTTTAAATTCTCACAAAAACCTTTTGTGTATCATATTTTTATTATTTCTATTTTAAAAATAAAAAGAATGAGGCTTAGAGAAGTTGAATAATCTGCCCAAATTTATGCTTCTAATAGAGAAGCTGTAGTTGAAGCAGCAATGTCTGCCCCTAGAGCCCTCACTTTAAAGTATGAAAGAAGCCAAAGGAGAGCTTGGCTCGCACATTCAAAAGATCATACATAGCTTTCCTTAAACACATAATTCAAAATAATATTTGCCATTTATTATGTGTGTGTGTTGTCATCTGTGGACAAATATATAATTTTCTCATAGTGCATTAGCCTAAGAGTATAAATGACTTCACAGTAAAGGTGATAGGTCATATGCCTATATCTGTATAAATTGACTTTAGTTACATGCCAGCTGCTGCTCAATTATTTTAGAAGTCCTTGATGAATGTCTCAGACGTACTCACCAACATGCCTGGGTGGTTTGGTTGTTCCATTTTTCCTCCTCTAGGCATTTCACTCCCTTCCTCTATACCACAAACATCTCCTTTCTGGCTCTTTCAACAGTTTTCCTATGCACCACCCTGGGCCCTTCCAATAACAAAGCCATAAGCTAATCTGCCATAATGTTGGGGAAGAAGAGAGGTTGTTAAGAGAATCGCTGTCCTGGCTTATGCTGTGGTTGGTAGAGAGACTAAAAGCAATCTTTGTGTATCAACTTTTAGTGATACTCTTAGGCATGTTCCCTTAAATGTGTTGTGTCTGGAAGCCCACATGAACTTTAAAGCCTAACAGCCCCAATATGTTTTTAGGATGATCCTGAAGGTATCAACTTCAAAATGACTAAAATTTCATTGTACAAAAATTCTTTCTGGAAGCATAACAAATAATACATAGATTTCACAAACTGTAGTATAAAACAAGTAATTTTTCTCAAGAGCTTATCAAATAAAGAATTTGTGATTGGTCCCTGATGCAAATGCTCCTGGAAGTTGACTTTTTAAAGAATACACTGTAGATAATAAAACCAACTATTTTAATGGTAGCCTAGACGATTATTCCACCCATGTATTGTCTTATTTCACAGGCCAGATTTGCAATTATTTTTGGCTTTACTTGCATTTTTTTCCATGAGTACCTAATGAGGGTTTCAGTATGTTCATGGGCTATGTCTGCTGACAGGGCCTTGGTATATCTTTTTTGTTGATGGTAAGGCTCATTTTTAGGGAATAATAAAGCAGACAGCCCAATATTCTAAGCCAAAGAAGCCCAAATAACAAAGATGCAAAATATCATAATTATTCTCATTTAGACTCAAATAATGGAGGGTTTGCCTTTTTCATACAAAGGTATCTAACTGTCCTTTAATATAAAGCTTAGTAGACAAAGATTAATTTTACTAAAAAAAAACCATTTATTTGATATACCAAGTTGCTTTCCTCACTTTGTAAGCTATTTCTCTCTGCCATTCTCTTTCTCACTCACGTGTAAAACCTCAGAATCAATTTTGACTTGCCTTCACGTTTCTTATCTATTATCTCCTTTCTTAAAAAAGCCTCCATTCTTTTCCATCTCTAGCCTAAAAGAAAAATCTCCTCATTTAAACATAAATCCTTGAAGCAACCTCTTAATCTGTTACTGCTCTCTTTTTTACTCACTTTAGCAGATTTTTTTTTCTAAATCACCAGTCTTGTCAAGTCACTCCTTCAATCAAGAATTACCTATACTTTCCCACTGCATACAAGTTAATCCATTGCCTAGGCCTGACATTTAAGAACCTACTTAATTTTTCCTTCTCTTTCCTTTATGTATAAATTTCTTCTGAATCCTTGTGTGAAGCCTTCATTCTGCACATGGAATATTTCTCCCCAAACAAATCATGCTCATTGATGAAACAGGGCTCCTTTTTTGTTTTTGTATATCAACCTGTGCTTACTTTATTGTTGTACCTATCATACAAGATTTTAACTGTGTATTGTGATGAAAAGTGCCCCCCAAAAAGATATCCATGTTCTAATTCGTAGAATGTGTGTATACGTTAACATTAGATGGCAAAAGGGACTTTGCAGATGCACCTTGCAGAAGTGCTTTGAGATGGGGAGAATATCTGCATAATCCAGGTGAACTCAGTCTAATCATATGGGTTCTTAAAAGAGAAAAGCCTTTTCCGTCTGAATTCAGAGTCAGAAGGGGATGTGACAACAAAATTTTCAGGGAGATGCAACTTTGCTGGCTTCAAAGAGTGAGGAAGGGGCCATGAGGCAAGGAATGCAGGCAGCTTCCAGAAGCCTAAAAAGAAATGAAACAGATTCTCCCCTAGAGCCTTCAGGAAAAACACAGGTCTGTGGACATCTTTATTTTAGCTCCATGAGACCCATTTCAGAATTCCAACCTGCAGAACTGTAAGATAATAAATTTGTCTTAAGACACAAAGTTTGTGATAATTTGTTACAGCAGCAGTAGAAAACTAACATATCTATTAATCTATGTCTTTCCCAAATGGACTCGAGTTTTTTGAGGTCAAGACTGAAAAGCAGAGTTCTAACATCCATTCTTCCCTTTCTTCTTAGTAACAGAATCCTGGTGTATATATTTCAGGAATGCAGTGCACCCAGCTTTTCTTTGTAGTTATATATGGTGATGTGACTAAATTATAAAAGGGAAGTGCTATGGCAAAAGTATGCAAGAAGATGGACTTAGTTCAGAAAGTGACTCCTCTATCTCCTGCTCCTTTCTGCTTCTGGATTACAGGAACTCCCTGCCATTCTGGATTGTTCCACCTGTGAAGATGATACCAAGAGATAGGTTCATAGAGGGAGCTGCAGAGCCCCTATTCCTTTCCTGAACAGCCTACTCGGAGAACATTTTTACTTAAAAGAGAGAAAAAAGTAAACTTCCATCTTATTTAAGCCTGGGTATATTTGTCGTTTTTCATTTTTATGAAGGCATGCCTAATACATACTGATGCAGCCTGAGTGTTGAACTTTCCTTCGCTCCTGGAACAGGTCCTGGCACCAAGTATTTGCTCAGTAAGTGTTTGTTGGATGGATATCCAGACAATCCTCTACCTATATGTTTCAAGATCCATATCTTCATAACCAGGTTATAATGTTTGTCCTAATTAGGCTGTTTCTAACTTGTGGTGGGTTGAATAGTGTCTCTACAAGATTGATGTTCAATTGGAACCTCAGAATATTCCCTTATTTGGAAATAGGGTTGTTGCAGATGTAATTAGTTAGGATGAGGTCATACTAGAATAGGGTGGGCCCTAAGTACCATGACTGAGGAAAGGACACACAGACACGTGGGAAAAGGATGCCTGATGCATAATATCTAACGCAGAGATGGGAGTGGTGCAGCTGCAAGCCAGGGAATGCCAAGGGTTGCAGGAGTCACCAGAAGCTGAGAAGAGTCAAGAAACAATTCTTTCCTAGAGCTTTCAGGAGCATGGACTTACTGGCTCCTTGATTTTCAAATGTCTGCCCCCAGAACTGTGAAGAAAAAAAAATGCAGTTTTGTTGCCTTAAGCCATCCAGTTTGTGGTAATTTGTTATGGCAACCCTAGGAAGCTAACACACATTTCTTTCCCATGATCCATGCAAAATGCTTCGCATGTTATAAATGTTCAAATGTTAAACTTCGTTATGTATTACTATCATTATCATTATCGTTAATACTTTCTATACTACTATTTTATGACACTGAACACTGACTACACAAAACCTTCTATTTTAGCTGAAATTGTTTTCAGGTATAAATATTTTAAGACTTCAATTAGACAATAATGTCCTTGAGGGCAAAGACGATTGTTTACCCTCTTTTATCTCCCATTCCCATTGCTCAACATATAACATGGTGCTGTGCATGAGGAGGGAAGCAGCCTTTAGAAAAGAAAAATGTCCTAGGGGTAGTGTTCTCAGTATAACTCCAATCTGCAATATAGTACAACCTCAGGGAGTTTGGTTGATGGTTACCAGGGTCAAAGAACCCTCTTGATTGACAGAAAACTAGATAAGAACAAAGCTTGGGTTTCTCTAGACATCAACCAAGTGAGGAGGCTCAGACCATGGCAGAGAACAGCAACCCAATGGTTTTTAAACAGTGTCTTTTTTCGGTGAACTATTGAAGAGTAATTTCTATATGTCTCTTTAAATAAGTGCTTTATCTGTTTAGACATCTGCTATAATTAAAGTATAAAGAAATCCGCCAGGCGCGGTGGCTCACGCCTGTAATCCCAGCACTTTGGGATGCCAAGGTGGGCGGATCACGAGGTCAGGAGATCGAGACCATCCTGGCTAACATGGTGAAACCCTGTCTCTACTAAAAATATAAAAAATTAGCTGGACGTGGTGGCAGGTGCCTTTAGTCCCAGCTACTCGGGAGGCTGAGGCAGGAGAATGGCGTGAGCCCGAAAGTTGGAGGTTGCAGTGAGCCGAGCTCGGGCCACCGCACTCCAGCCTGGGAGAGAGCAAGACTCCATCTCAAAAAAAAATAGAAACCCATTAGGATATCCATCTACAGCTAGTATAAGCAAGAACACAGCCTAGGGTAGCAAGTGATTTTCTTCAATGAAGCAGGCATATTTCCTATTTTCAGTCTTCTTTGTGGCAATCCCTACCTATGCCACTGTGGTGCAAACTTTTCAAACTTCCTTGTTTTTCTTGCTAGGACACTTTCTGCCTCTAACTTGCTTTCAGGCAATTCTTTCTCTAGAAGTGAAAAATGAAACAAAACAAAAATGTTTTTGAGGTCTTGGTGAACATTATAAGAGTCCCAGCTAAGGAATTCCAGACTTCTCCAGAAAGAGACATGGAAAAGAACAAGAATGAATTTGAGTTATCGACATTTTTGACAATAGAAGCTATATAACAGGTCAGGACTATCCAAGCAGGAGGTCTGTATGACTTCCTAAGGCCAGAGATTCAAAAATAACTAACATTTATCCTCTGCTAAACAAGTTCCAAGTAACTTTCTCATTGCTTTACATATTTTAACCCATTTAATCTTTTTAATAGCCAATGAGGAGGTTCTGTTTATTATTCTGATTTTACAGATCAGATAACTGAGGCACAGAAGTGATGCATAAAATTACTCCAGGATCTACTTTACACTTTCCTCTTCAAATCAGGCCATTAACACTTGATCAGTATGTTTCAGTACTTTATTTTCCTGCCTTCACTGTCCTTATTTGTAAAATGCTAGGCATGTCAGCAAACAGGAAAAAGAGAGTGCCATTTTCTGCCCTGAAGGAGCTTAATGTTTCCATATGATTGAGTAAGGAAAACTGAGCTGAATATGGAGATTAATGAACACACAGTTAATATGGATTAAGACCTATAATAGAAGCAAGAGCCCTGCTCCAACATTTCCAGGACCTGGGCAAAAGTACCAAATGGAGGCTCACATACCATATATCTAGACTTTTTATGCTTAAAATTTATAAATCAAGCTAATTTAAATATGGTGTAGCCTCATATCCTGACAGACATTTCTCTAACAACCTGGAGGACCAGATTCAAAGTCAGAATGCTCAGACTTCTTTGACTTTGATTCAGAACGTGGGTACTCAGGAAGACCCTGTGCTCGGTCCCTGATGTCTCCACTCTTGAGTCCTAGCTCCAAGCCTGGCCGACTCTTCTTTCCACTCCTATATTGCTCCTATAATACAAGGGGCCTTCAGTGCCCGTGGTAGACAAAACTGTCATTGTTGTTATCCCTTGCAAATAAGATTACCAGATTTAACAAATAAAAAGACAGGATCCCCAGTAAAATATGATTTTCAGACACAAAACAAATTTTTTATTATAAGTATGTTCCTTGCAATATTTTGTTGTTTAACCAAAATTCAAATTTAGCTAGGCATCCTGTATTTAACATGTCAACCTTGCCTACAAACATTCACCCATTGGCCAAATTTGGAACCCACTGGCATACACTCTGATGGCTATTTATACCCCTCCACTGAGATAGATTCATATTAAGGGGCCACACAAATCCTAGAATAACCTTGGGTCTGTTTGGGCTGAGAATTCTGTGGTCTAGAGTAGGCAGAGTATGATTTAGAAGATGGGGGATGTGTGTACCTTGAGGGGACTCACCCTTGTTTCCTAGGCCATAAATAGAATAATAATGGACAGGAAGAATAGAATGTCCAAAATTGCCTAGTGGGATCTGGGATGAAATAATGGAGGAAGTGTCGTTTGATATGAGTCTTAAATGCTGGAAAGAATTTAGGCAGCCTGAGTTAAGAAAAGGGCATACTGGATAGAAAGTTTTCACTTATATTTTGTTATGCTTCAATTTTAAACACATCAAGCACCTTCTTCTTTTATGTTTTTAATTTCTTTGCCTTTAGTGTATACAAATATTAGGTATTGTTTACCTTCTTAATCGTCATGAAGGTATCATACATAATAAGGAGAGTCCTCCATTTTCTCCGTCTTCCCTTTGAGGATTTGCTGATTTTCTGCATGAGACGTAGAGGCTGAACACACTGTAGGGCCCTAGAAATTGCAGGTGTTTCACTGAGCTAGGGAGATTAAAAATTAGTGCAGGTTTACCAAATAGCTAGGTTTTTAAAAAGACAAGATCCTTCGGGAGGCTGAGGCAGGAGAAGCGCTTGAAACCGGAAGGCGGACATCGCAGTGAGCCCAGATCGCGCCACTGCACTCCAGCCTGGACAACAAGAACGACACTCCATCTCAAAAAAAAAAAAAAAAAAAAAAAAAAGACAAGATCCTACAGAAAAGAGGACCAGTAAAAAGTGAGCCAAAGTTCTGCATGCAATTTCTTCTCGAGGCTGTACTCCTTGGTTACACATGCTTAGGACAAGACACAGAGAAGCCAAGCAGGGAACAACTGCTAAGAGGCTAAACATGTAAGCAGAGAATTTACCAGTTTCATGGTGCTGGGGAGACAAAAATTGGAGCAGATAGCCTGCTGAGGGAGATAGCTCTGGTAAACACCCCAGGCATTCAATTAAAATCCCAGAAGAGCTATCCTCTAGGAGAAAAAGGCAAAACAGAAATACACCAGCTTTCTAAAAATCAAAGTGATTTGCTTATTTTTTATCTTCTGTTTAGAAGAAAATTAAACCTTCCCTTGAGGAAGATAACAGCTGTCCAGTGTCACAAATATATAAAAATATATTATACTTAGTGTACAGCATTCAATAAAGAATGATTAGCTATACAAGAAAGCAGGATCAAATGATGTAGGAAAAAAGACGACAAAGCACATACAACAGAAATAGCCTACAGATAATCCAGATATTTTGGATTATACAATAAATATGTGGAAATTGGAGAAAATATTTTCAATACATTTATTCAAAAAAGGGTCATATCCAAATTATTTGAATAATTTCTACAAATAAATATGGGGAAAAAACAATCACCCAATGAACAATTTGAGCAAAAAACTTGAATAGGCATGTCAAAAAAGAAGATATCCAGTGATGAAAAAAACACATAAAATGGTGCTCAACATAATCATCAGAAAAATTCAAATTAAATAATAGTGAGAAACATGCACAACAGAATAAATAAATTAAAAATTAACTGACAACATTAATTGTAACACTTACCACTCCGTAGGATTTTGACAGTAGGAGAGGCTGCTCATATGTGGTCGTAGTGGGTAGAGAAGATATCTCTACACCTTCCACTCAGTTTTTCTGTGAACCTAAAACTTCTCAAAAAAATTAAATTTACTTAAAAAGAATCAAGTGACAATCTTAAGAGTTAGCATATAGAGATACTATAACTCTCATTTACTGCTGATAGGAGTGTAAGTCTGTACCACTGCTTTGGAAAATGGTTTTGCAGCATCTACTAAATCTCAACATATGAATACTCTCTAATAAGGATTTCAATTCCAAGGAATATACTCATTGGAATGAGGACCATATATTTATCAAAAGACATATACTAGAATAACCATAGCAGTTCTATTCATAATAGTCAAAAATTGCCAACAAACAAAATTCCCATCAAGAGTACAATGGATACATTGTAGCATAATCATAGGGTGGAATTCTATGTAGCAGTGTGAATGATTGGATCACAACCTGACTAAATGTCACAAAGAAAATGTTGAGTGAAGGAAGCCAGACACAAAATAACATATACTGTATGATTCCATGTATATGAAATAAAAAATAGCCAAAATTAAACTCTGGTGTTATCAGAAGAATGGTTACTGTTGGAGGAACAGATAGGAAGTAGGCATGAAAGAGAATACTATGGTGTTTGTGATATTTTATATCCTTATCTGGTAGTGAAGGCCATGGCAAGGTCACCTGTGGCAATGCATCAAGCTGTACAAATTAAGATTTGTGCACTTTTTTATATGTATGTTAGACTTCTATTTTTAAAGTGTTTCCAAAAAATAGAAAAAGCATTTATCCAGTACCCAGGGTTTTTTAACATGCTACAATTAGTTTTTTATCCAGTACTCATCAATTGAGATCAATTTACAAAGTAGCCGGACTTGGAGTATCATTCCATACTGTCTCTTTAGTTTGTATCATTACATTCTTATTCATCATCTACCCTGTGACAATAACGGTGCTGAAGTCTAGAGTATAAAAATAACTAAGACATTTTCACTATCAAAATAGCGTGAGAACTAGTTTGGGGAGGCATGCATAAACAGATAATTTTAAATTAATAAAGTAAACATCGTGTAGAAATAGAAACAAGATGCAATGGAGCATAGAAGAGGAACCTAAGGAATTGGCCTGCTCCATTAAGTGTGTGAGTGTATGTGTGTGAGCTTCAAAGAAGAGTTTCTACAGCAGATTCTTCCTGGGTTTGATCCTTGAAGTAAAGAAGAACATATGCATGTAAAGAAAAGGAGTGAAGGAATTGCTAAGGGAGGGAGACGCATGAGTGAAGACATGGGACTGTTAAATTGTCTCATTAAAAACTGAAGTTACAGCAGCTTAGTAATACTAGAGCATAAATTTCAAGACAGTGGGTGATGGGAAAAATGGATAGAATGATAGTTAGAGCCCAGGTTATGGAGAACCTTGGGGCCACTCTGTATGGCTATTCAGGTTGTTGATTATATAAATGTGTCATATCTAAGAAACTGCATTCACACAGCGGATAGATACTAACCTGGAGCAGTTGAGGCTAGTCATGCATCAGCTCAGAGAAACATGCATGAAAACATACACTGGCACACATATGTGCATAATGCTGGGTTTTTTCCCTGACATGCACTAAGGTTTCTTTTTCCCACTGCCACTCTTGGAGGGCCTGTTATCTCTACCCCCAAACTTGACATGGTTATCTCATCTGTAGAGCAAGGTATAGTGGTGGGTATGGAATGTTAGGGTTGCTGAGGGATATGCTTCTTGGCTTCCAAGGAGTATGGAAACAGGAGCGTGTATGGATACCTTTGGATGTGTGTTCCTGGCTCCTGCCTCTCAGGACCCTGGAACGCTCCCCTGGACAGGTCCTGGCCCAGCCAAGATGGTGTTTTACACAGCAGTGTCTCCACTTAATTCCTAAGAGTGGTTGCATATTCTTGATTAGGTTGTGCAATATAAACATCCTTATTTTTTAATTTAAGGGGGGCCAGCTTTTTCTAATTTATAGAAAAGCACTTTCTGAACTGTGACAGCTCACCTTGTAGGATATGCCTAGAATTTTGAACTGCAGCTTATACATGTTGTAGGAAATTCAATTCCTCTTTGAACAACAGTTTTATTGTAGCGAAAAAAGTGGAAACCAAATTGTAGTGGATAAAAAATTGAGAAAAAGGAGGAATAAGGGAAGATTGTCTTCTAAAGTTGTTTTGCTGGTCATAGAGAATGACTAAAGTCCATTAGATTAGTTTTTTTTTTTCTGTTTGCTTTGTTTGGGTTTAGACAGAAAGTAACCAAAGAGCAAGATATGATGGGAAAATAGTTGACTTAGAGAAAAGTGATAAGAAAACAGTTTTGTAAGTGTTGGAGGGAATCAGATGATGCTGACAATAATGGTGATGCCTTTGACTATTAAAATGGTGTTATCTCTCATTTATGGAATTCTATCTATAGGCAGTTTTAGAGGGAAGATACTATTCTCAACTGTCAGATGAGAAAGTGATGCTTAGAAAGGTTAACGGGTCCAAGTTCACACAGCTGTGGGATATCAAAGTTTGTATTTAAACCTAGATTGTCATGATGCTGATGTTCATACCTCAATCACTAATATAAACCACCTACCACAAATCAAGCATACAGTTGGATGGGGCAGGTGGAAGATCACTTCATCCTTAAGAAAGGAAGATAAGAGCATGCTTACGTACTTAAGCTTCCTTCTTCTATTTTAGGAAGTAACATTATGTTCAAAAGAATCACATTAAACTCTTGATGATGCTGTTTTTGGCATTTGAGATACCTTAGTTTCCCTGTCCAATATTTGTTTTTTTCCTTTTAATTGGCAAGGTGGTCCACATATCATTTTCAATTGAATTATTCATGTACTTTATCTTGCAAACCAGAACAATTTTGAGAGCAAAATAGAGCATCATTACCACAGATTAAATAAAACGGACACCCGCCAGGACTGTCTCAAGCATGCCTTGCGTTAATTGTAACATGAATAGCTATTATATGTACACAGTGTAATAAGGATTGAACTGTAGGTTTGATGTGAGTTAGAGTTTCAAAGCCTATTTTGTCTATGAGAAATAGAACTTTTCATAAAATCTATAACAAAAGCATTTATCTTTTACATAACTAATGTTTCTTATTAGTCCATAAAGACATGCTCAGAATCATGTTGTGTTGTGATTTAAATGGAACCTCCCATAGAAACTATCTTGGCCAATCTCCACTTGATCCATTTAATTTCATTTTGAGGGATCCACTTTACCTAATACTTCAAGTTACCTATATAAAACAATTCTGGTCTCTTGAAATAGCTTTAAGGAGATCAACACATTATAGGTCCTCAAAGACCTATTTTGACTTGTAGAATGTGCAGTTAGAGCATTAAAAAAAAAAAAAAAACCTCTCTACTTAAGTATTGGGATCTCTTCATGAATTTAATTCAGATGCTTTCACCATTTTTAATATTTTATGTCAAATTGAATCAAGTCAGCAAAAAAAGTTAATAAAATTTCTATTTTGTGCTGTATCCCAGTATTTAGGTAATTTGTTTAATGCAAAGGCATATATTGCAAAATCGGGATGTATTTCAAAAGTGTCTCCTATAAAAAAAAAAAGGAAAGGAACAAGAAAAACACAACCTGAGCTCCTAAAATCTGTTTTGACTATTTCATAGCATGCTAATAAATCTTTTTGTTTATCATATTGAATGTTCATGTGTATTATAAAATTTATTAAAGTTCTTTTCCCTTCCTTTTGGTTCCCAAATTTTGGTTTGCAATCTATCTGCCACAGAGACTGCAACATGCACCTCTATTTACTAGATTTTCATCATTGGTATTTTTAAGTCCCTTTAAGTTCTATACTTGTAGTGAGTATTAAAATGGCATTACAATATTATGTTTCCACACATGCAGGTACAGGTTGAAGAAAATGCATAGGTTTTTGAATATGAAAGACTTGGATTAGAATTCTCCATCCATCCCTTAGTAAACTATGCTTTGGGGCAAACTTTAAATATGCATCTTTGTGTGTAATATGGGAATAATAACGTCTGTTTTTGGGGTCCTGGCAGTAGACATTGAGCATCTAGATGAAGCTGCTTTATTTACTGGAATTTAGTTTTTGTGCAGTGTGACTCCTTTCAGTGTGTTCCCCTACACTGAAGAAATATAATTGTTCAAATGCTTTTGTCAAGGGTGCCCTTACCCTTGTTTGTCACACTTTTATCCTCATCACTGTCACTACAAGAACAAGCTTTTGCTAGATACTATGATGAGATGAGACTGTTCCTTCTCTTTAGAATATTAGGACTAATCCCATCATTCCTCATACTGCAATTCACCTGAATTATCACCCAGGCATCATTCTGAGTATACCATGTAAAAAATAAGGTATTCAACTTATTACATAAGTATCCTGTACAGACAAATGCAAACAGATGCTAGACACTGCAGTGGAGAGCATTCTGAAAGCCCCTTGTTGTGCTTCATGATACCTGTTTATAGTTTCTAGATCATAGAAAGGCCAAGAGTCTTGGGAAAAGGGGCTAGAGTACCATGATTATGAGAAGGGCACTGTGAGAGCTCAGGGTAATGACTATTCATCAAATATTAACATATTTTAATATTTTAAAAATAAAAATAGTGGCCATTCTGGGTCATGCCAAAAGTTCACGTGTCTCAGGCTATTTATTATAATCAAATTTTTTTATCATCGTATGAGTTTGTACATTCCCTAATTTGATGCCATTTCTCAGTCCTCGCTGACTCCCAAACCTTTATATAGTGCCCCTTGAAACTCACAAGCATCATCAGAAAACTCCCCTACTAACTTTCAAAATATGCTCTTTATGCTGACTCTCCCTTAAAGACACAGGTTCTCCTACAGCCCATTCAAATAGAAAAGGTTTTTGTTTATTTATTCCAAAGATGTACATCAATCTACCATCGGGCTAGTAGCATAGGATTGCCCCTGCCTCCCTATGCCTTTTTCTGATGATTTTTCTTCCTCATACCTCAAATTCCCGTCTTTTTTGAAGGGTCTAAGATTGGACTCTGCTATACACTAGTCCTTCTTGTTGCTGTCATATGCTGTCCAATTGCAATAATGAGCAAATATTTAATCTCTTCCTTTCTGCCACTATTCCTATTATCATTCTTGGTAATTTAGCACTGATCATCCATCCAGCATCTAAGCTACTCTGTTCCTTGCCCTCCTCATCAACCTTCTCTATCTTTGTTTTTTATTTCAATTTACATTACCACATTTAACCAATTACTCAGGTCAAACCTTAGGAGTCATTCTTGGTTTCCTAACACTTTTAATACTACCCCACCTATCCAACTCAGAAACAGGTTAGCTATACCTACCAAATATAATCTTTCAAATATCTTGAATTCTGTCATCGTCATCACTCCTCCATCATCTTTTCTTTGGTTCTGCAATAGCTTCATCATCTTCTTGTTTCCTCCCTTTTCCCCATATATCCTGCTTTCCACTCTATAGCAGGAATGGACTTTGAAAAATATGAATTATATTTTATCAAATGCCATATAATTATCTATAAGGTTCTTCATGATCTGGCTCCTGCCTGCTTCTCCCATGTTATTGTATTAGTTACTCTGTTCTTTGTTATCCCTCAAACACAGAGAGCTCATGTCCTCTTCAGGGGTCATGACATTGGCTAGCTCAGCCTGGCATATGCTTCACTAATGTATACATTCTAATAGCCCCTTCTCAGATTTGGGTGTCTTCAAATATCAGCTCATCTAGAGAGTCTTTCCTGGCTACATTATTTGAAAAAAGAAGCTCTTAGTGACTATCACCCAACCTTGCTTTGTGTTCTTAATGTTACTTAGCAATAACAAATTTTTTAAAAATATGCATACTTTCTTAAAATAATGTCTGGTCCATGTGAATGTAAACATCATGATGGCAAGGACATCATATATCTTGTACATATAATCCAAGTGTCTGGGACAGTGGCACGATTAGAGGAAAATTTAGCAATATATGCTCAATAATGAGATCTTGTATGTGAGGAGGCCTAGAAAAAAGCTTGTCATACAATGAATCCTCTTGTTATTATTTTTCTGCTAAAAAGGAAGATGTAACTGTTAATTTTGATTATTAGTTTTCATACCACACTATACCACAATACTGGAAATAAACATTATCAGTTCAAAGTTAGGGTGTTTTATTGGATCAACCTTTTAAAAAAATCTGTAGTTTTCAGAGATCAGATATTTTGGTGCAGGATATAGATCGAATCACTGATCTTGAGGGTTGGCTCTGGGGACTCTGAGATGACACACGAAAATGAAAACCACCCAGAGGTTTTCTTGTGTACCAATTTTTTGGATATATATCATTAAATGAGTCTGGGGTAGGCATTTGAAAAGGCATGGAATCTGCTACCCAAAATATCAGTCTAATAAGAGAGATGGGCACATGAACCAACCATTGAAGTGTGGTGTGATAAAAACCTCAATGAAAGGAATAACTAAATGCTCAGGATCCCAGGAGAAAGTTAATGTAAAAGATGGAGACTGATGTGTGCATTAGAGTAAAGAGATGCTAACCATTCAAAGGAAAGCTGAGAGGAAGGCAGATATTAATAGATAAACTAGTATATAAAACTCATGGAGACAGAGTAGCATGGCGTGTTCAGTGAACCACAACCCGTATAATATGGCTGGAGTATAACATGGAAAAGGAATGATGGAAGAAGTGTCTGAAGATTCAAGTAGCATCCTGACTCCACTACTGGCATACAGCTGCTGATCCATCATTCTTCTTACACTTTTCCTTTCTACTCCCATTCAAGATAACCAATCAGAAAGGTTTACTTTGACTGAAGCACTTGTCAAATTAAGTTTTTGAGTGAAGAAATTCATCTCTTGAATGTAGGATTTCCTTTCATCTTATTATTCCATTGCTTTAAACACTTACGGCATCATTGCCTGTTATTATATGCTGAAAATTCATTCTTCTAGAAATGATTATCTCAAGTGTTTTTACAGAACATTTATATAAATGCAACTGTTTTCAACATATGTTGATTGACCTTCATTGTGTGTCAATAGCTTAATTTCTCTATTGTTCATACTTTATACAAACATGCCTTATATTACAAATGATATATTGTTTCTGAAAGCTTCACTGATATTTAATTATATGTTCCCAATTCAATGTTTATTACAAAACCCTATCAGAGAAATTAAAATTTCATATTTCATGTTTTTAAATATTAACCTTTAGTCTTTTAAATTTACCACTGAAATCATTCTTTGTTTCCACTGTAGGTACTTTAATTGCCTTTAATTTGTGCTTCTGGTTCCTCTTTTAGACAAATTTTTGTCTTTTTTTCAGTTTTTTTAATGTCAGTGATTTATGCTTTCTCACTAGATTTTTGAATATAAATTATACAAATCTTAGAAAAGCTGAGAGTTAAAAATTCAAAGCCAATTATCTATGTGATGCGATGCTTATCATATTTGTAAAGAACCATGATCAAGAACAGCATTAATGAATTTCTTATTTCAAATATATCATGTAGTTTGATCATTGGATTGTCGTACATAGTCAGTATAACAGGATGATGAGTAAGTCAGCATTTCCCAAGGACTGATTAGGTTATCAAATGAATAGATAAATAGTGAATATACAATTATATGACTCCCTAGAATCAGTCAAAATTTCCATCAGTGAGCTGTGGGAGTAAAAGGGAGAGAGGAGAGCAAGCATCATTTCATTGCAAAGCATAAAAGATTCCTCTCGAGAAATTTGACAGCCCAGCTGTGTATGTGTTTTTATCTCTATAATGGTTGTGAAAGCTGAATTTCAGAACTTCTGTGCCACTTTAACTTTGATTAAAAAATGAGAGACTAGTCAAAGAAAACAGCGTCAACAGTAAGAGATGGAAACCCGAAGTGGTATGTGCATGTGTTAGTGTGTTTGAGTGTATGTGTGTGACTGTGATGAGAAACAAACTCTGCAGTAGCAATCTGTCGAGAAACTCAGGGTTTTCAGCCTGTCCAAACAACTTTAGCCATTCGTGTCTAAAATTAATGCTCCAAAAAGAAATATTAAGTAATTTTTACAAGGTTTTGGTGATTTAAGGGCTGGAATCTCTGTTGATTTACACCTAATTATCAGAATTCTGAGGTTTATTTATTTCCTCATTTTGCTCATAGAAGGAGTTATATCATTTATGATTGACCTCTGAACTATCTCACATAGTGTCTTTCCTTCCTAACACAATCATCTATCATGTCACAAGTTATTTCCTGCGTCTCTTCTAAACCATGCCACTTCAGAAGGTTTTTCTCCTAAGCATACCACCTTTGGAAAGAGTTATATGCAGTACATTTTTTCTCTAGCTATTTCACTTCTGACCTCCAGTTTCCATTATTCTTGCTAATCTGTCTTTTCAAATAATTCTTTGTTGAATGCTATCAGTGGTGGAGATGACATTAGAAGAATTCAGAAAACTACTCCCTAAAGGACTAATGAGAACACCCTAGTACTTTTGAACTCTTTTTTACAGTCTTTTTTAATGCAAAATAAAAATGCACCATTCATTCTCACTAGTGACTTATACTTTAGAGTAATGAATGATACAGAAAATTGGGGTTCATTAAAAATTCTCAGAATTGTAGTCCCTGAAAGTCTACTATCGAGTTTTGTTTTGTTGTTTTTCATAGATTAAAAAGATCAATGAGATTCTATGTTTGATCTTGGTGAGCTCACAGTTTTTGTGGGTGACAGATAGGAAAAATAATTATAAGTACCCATACAAACTACTATAATAAAGACATATGGTAGATGACCAGAGTTGTGACAGCTTTTTCTCAGAGAGTTAGGAAAGGTTTCATATAAAACGTTGCTGGCAGTGGAGGGGAAAAAATAGCCGCAACTTTACAGGAAGAGTCAGGAGTTTGGGAAGAGTATTCTAGACCCATGAATTAGGCTGTGCAAACCCATGGAGTTGTCAAACTCTTAGTCCTGTTCAAGAACCAGTGAGAATTTAATTGCACAGCTGTTATCTCTAATACAGTGGGGAAAAATGACCTAAAGTATTTTCCTGTGATATAAAGGAGTAAAGGCAGTGCTCAATAAGTCCAGTAAATTATATACCAGAAGACTTGTGTCTTTATTACCTGGGAAACTTAGAATGGCCTAGTAAAATGCTGCCAATTAGAACATTTATTTACACATGAAAATTTGTAATTTTCAAGTAGACAACACATATGTACTTGTATACTAATAAGTAAGGTGAGATAAGTTAATGAGAAAATAACAAGTTGAAATAGACCACCTTCACATAATAATGGATTCAAAATATAAAAACACTTTAACGTTGGAGAACTAATTGCCAGATAAAAAAATAAAGGCAAATAACAAGATTTTTTATGCCTTTAATATCTTTAAAAATCATTTTGATTATTTTGAAAATACCAATTATTTTAAAATTATTGTTTCCCCAGACAATAAGACCATAATAAATTCAGAACTGCATATACTTAATGATATTTCTATCTCTATATGTGCCAGGGTTATTTCAAATCCAAATTAGTGGAATTCTAATGATTTTACCATATTTTATTGTTAAGTTATTTAAGTTTGTGAGCACAAAGACAAATGTGCTCTGAAAAGCCTTATAATTTCAAGATATTAAGCCCAAGACAGAACTTGGAACAGAAGATTGTGAGGAGAGGGGATGTGTAGACATAATTCTCTTTTCCCTTTAAACCATAGATAATCCATCATGTACTTTTTCAGGTTTGGGACTCCTGAAAAAGAGGGTATAGAATAAGGAGAAGATTTGGTATACTGTTCTTTCCTCCTCACCACAACTTTCTCCAAGCTGTTTGTATTCTCTCAGTCTCCTGTACCAAATGGAGGTGCTTACATTTTCTCAATGGCCATTTGTAAACTGAAGAGAGAAGGAGTATAGCTGTGAAGTTCAAGGTGGCAGCAGAGAGCTGGGCAGAATGTGCTATGAGGCCTTCTCACTTTTTGTCAGTCAAACATATGAGCAATTATCACACTAGTACTTGAAGTTCAGATCAGTTGAAGAGTACAGTGATTTGGAATATTCCTCTCACTGGGATCCAAAAATGATTACTTTTGAAGTTCAGGCATGCACAATAAGTGAATGAAGCAGATCAATAATGAGACTGTCAACTGGATAAACACATAGCTCCTTACACATTTACTTTACAGGTATTTTTGAAATAGTCATTTCCATATTAAATTGTGCCATTGGCTTTCAGTTTGTGTCTCTAACTCAAGGGAATCAGAATTATACCCTAAAATTCATTTATTGAGAGATGTCCCTTCAAGGAAGGCAGACACATCATGGGCTTCATCATGGTAAACTTCCAGAAATACATCTTCTTAAGCTCCCCTCAGTCCTCCTATATACTCCCAGGAAACCTTCCTGGGAGTTGTCACCACCTTATTTTGTATTAATTTATTCACTTCTATATTTAACTGTGAGTATATTTATTTATTAGCATGTTTTTTTACACCCACATTGATTATGGAACTGGAATCAAGTCTCAACCTTATGATAGAGAGCTTGAATGTGATAGAAGTTAAAACTTGGAGTATATGTGTTTATGATGTTTTATGGAGGATAGATTACTTTCACTACTTGATCACATTTGACTTATAGCAGTCTTAGGAGGTTGGTCAGGTAGGTGCTATCCTCTCTACATTTTGCAAGAGGAAACCAATATTAAATTATATTTCTAAAGTTTCCTAAAAGCTATGAAGCAGAGAGCCTGTGGTTTAATTTAGTCTAAATTCTACTCATCCAAATGCTAGTTGTTTTTTTCTTTTGCCCTGTTATACCAAGTTTCTTATTTTTCTTCTCTCTCCTCCTCTTCTTTATTCAGTTGTTTTTTCTCGTGCTACACTTCTATTTGCTCTTCCTCTTTTCCCCCTCCGCTTTAACTCCCTACCATTTTCCCACCTAGCTCTGTCATGGTCTATACTTGTTGCCCATAAAAGTGAGTACACTAAATTTAGAAAATGTAGCACGTCCTTGGCAGCTGGTCATAGAAGTCATAAGCCAAGAGAAATGAAGTCCTCAGCAGAACTTAATACAATTCAAGGCCTTGGAGGAGACTTGAGTGGACATTGGGAAGGCAGATAGACTGCAGGGAGCTGAATGCAAATTAAATAACCCAAGCCTTAATTAGCTTACTGTTTAAAATATTGTATTAATCCAAGTACTGTCATTTTTCTGCAGCTAGAAAATTCCTATTTTCTCCCCACAAGAGCCTCATTTTATTTATATTGTCCTGTGGGGGTACTCCATGTTTCAGATTGACCTTGCTCATATTAAGATAGGGCTAAACTCTTGATCATCCACATGCATAGAAAGCATGATGCAGTCTTAGTTTTCTGCACTAGTTCATCTGTTAATGAAGAATTGAATGTTCTTGTTTGATCCATTGCAAATCAAGCAAAAGTATTTTCACTTTGCAGAGGGAAATACACAGCAAGGGGCATCTCTTCAATAAAAAGACGTGTGAGGTAAAGTGTGAGACAGCTTCCCAAGATGTACAAACAAACTAATTATCCTGACTTGTATAATTTTCCTTCAACCTCTTATCCAGCTGGGGGTCCAAGTTCTCAGGTGGAGACTAATCTAATTTCACTTTCACCAGACAAGACTGAAATCAATCTTCCTGCGTCTGGCTAACTGTTCAACACACCTCACTTGACTCAAATGAAATATTCTAGAAAATCACTAATTTCTTCTTTTCTGAGAAGGTGTACCGCCATGGTTTCTTTTAGCCCAGGTGAGCCAGATTTACCCAATTCAGGTGGGATTTTCAACAGTAAAGGGGAAATTATGAAATTCTCAAACCAAAAGTTAAGTGGTTTAATGATTTGTTTTTATTGTAGGTGATTGCGGTTGGTTTTTCAGACAAACTTCAAATGGGATGGCCAAAGGTATCTGATTAGCAGCAGCATCCTAATGATGAGGATGTGAACCAGTTGTGTAATATGCAAAGGGAAAACAACACAGAGGAGCTGTAGCATGTGGATTTCATTCAGTCTCTTACAACCTTTGCTATAATCAGTCACTTTCAGGACTAACGACTTATTTATGCCTTGTGCTTTTCTTGTCTAAATAAAAAAGACGTATTCAACATATACTTTATCAATTTCAGGCTTTCACAGGCAATTCTGAAAAATATGTTATTGAGGCTACATATAATCAAACTTTGTATACTTTAAAATGATGATATTTTCCCAAGTTCTGCACCAATTCCTCTTTCTCCTAAGGTATTCCTTTAAAATTATTTCTCTTCCCATTTTTCCTCTCTCTTATGAGAAGTTAGGATGTGAAATTTTGCTTTGCTCTTTACTGTGCTATTTTAAATGCCAAGATAACTAGTTTGTCTGTTGTGACTATGGGCATTCACATGATCAGTGGACTGAAAATTGAAATGCTAGATGGGGTTGGCTGTTCAAACAGTGTTCATTCAGAGGAATCTCCTTTCTTCTGAAGGGCAAGCCATGGAAAGACAGTCTTTTTAGAGGTAGAGAGACATTACTCTGTGCAACTCAGCTCACATTTATCCTTAGCTTAAAGATTGGTTGATGCTTAGAGTTAGCTCCCTGACAGTGAGTGACAGCTAATGTCAGAAGTTCAGAAGGAGGTACAGAAAGATGACATAAAGGAAAAAATTGAATTATAGTTTAACTTTTACAAAGCAAAAAGTGTCATATTATGTGCAGGATATGTCCAGAAAAGAGAGATGGGTTTATTAAATGTTTTATGTTAAGTCCAATATTTTTATTCTAATAAAGTAAAAATATATTTACTCAATTACTATTCATTTTTTGAGTAGTTCTTCTTTCCCCACACTGGGCCAGCTACTTTAAGGGTGCAAAAGAGAGAAGACATATTATCTGACCTCATGTGGAAAGGAAAAATAATTAGTACACTTAAACGATATTAACAATATAATGGACAGAAATGAATCACTGAAATCTGAAGTAGTATGGAATATTTCATTAATGAATTAATTCAAAACATATTAATGAACACATTGGTTGTGCCCGTTAATGTGGTTTAATTTAATTTTGAACAATATAGTTTTATTTGGCCTTCATGAACATTATATGTTATTTAAACTTTCATATGGAAGATTAACTTTATTTGGGTCTATGTGGATAAGACTTGGATCAGGTAGAGTGGTGAAACAGTGTTGCATTAACAGTTATGGAGAACATCAAATGTGTTCAGTATACTAACAATCACTTTCCACAGATAACATCATTTAATCACAACAATCATCCAAGATAGGCTTTTTAATTAATGAGGAAAATAAAGTTAGCACCAAAAGTATAAGATTATATTGTGATTTGTGATTTTGACTTAATATTTCTACATCTAAACTTGATTTTCCAATTAAAATGTAATAGAATTTTCCACATGGGAGAGTAACATAAGCAAAGACATACAAACTCATTGATGAGTGGTGTTGGGTGGTGATGGGGTGTTCATGGAGAAAGAACGGACACGTTGTTCAGCTTATAGAAAGATAAGCAGTGTTTAGCTTTTGTTCTTGATTGACTTAATTTCAAGGAACACAGATTGACTCAGTCTGTTTTAAGATGAAGATAATATGTTAAAAAGATTTATATAGTCTGGAGATAGCCATGAAAAAGACCATGATAGGCACCTTACTAACTAAATTGTCTAGTTTTCTAAGAACCATTTTTCCTCTGTCTAATGATGAGTTTATTTTGGTTAGCCAAACTGCAGAGTCTTCGTAAATTTAGCTTGAAGAGTCACTGTGGCTATTCTACACCTTTCTGCATCATTAACTTTCAACTGAATCCATTGCTAAGGGGTTAAAAAGTTAGTATCTCCTATTCAGATTACTGGGTGTTTTTCATTAATTCCAGTTATCATTTTATAACAGAATGTATCACAAGCATATTAGTTAGATTGAAATTAGGAGATAAAACTCACACAGTAATTAGAAACAAAATCTTTAAAATAAAGAATTGTTAACTATGGATTGATGTCAGTGAAAATAGTGGAGAAAGAACTGTTGAAACTTTAACCCTACATAGATTAAAAAAAAAACCTTAAGGAGTTGTTGGAGATTTTTTTCAGAATTCTGGAAAATCATAAAAGGGTTGCACCAGGCGGTGTTTATTTTTAAAAGTTCTGTCATATTCTTGAGAATCTAGGTACATGAGTGAATGTGTAGGCCTTTGGATATGTGCATGAAAGACCTGAGAAGACCCTTAGGCTCTCACTTCAGAATGACCTGCCTACTCTGCCCAAGCAGTAAGTGAAAGCTAAGGCAGAGTTGTAAACCATCAGGCTGAGTGTTCAAGGCATGCTCCATATTGATTGCAAGAATTAAGGAAATTTCTGTCTACTTATTATTTAGATGATTCCTAAATAACCATTTAGAGACTTCAATGACCACATATGCCAAAGAATAAATAATTTATAGAATTAGTAGTTTAGAGAAATCAGTAAACAAACAACTACTACAACAAGGAGCAACAACAGTAAACTCTTAAGAGGAGCAGACTTGATTTCCAGAGTTGCCACATTTTAGAATATTTAAAATGTTTTTGTGTGTGTAACAAAATTCCAAATCTAATTACAATAAAAAATACAGGACATGCAAAGAAATTTTTTTAAAAAATGTCCAACGCTCAGGAAAAAAAAAAAAATAGAAACTGTCCCTGATAAGGCTGAGATACAGGACTTATTGTGCTTTAAATCAGCTACATAAAATATATTTAAAAGTTAAATGAAATCATATTCTCAAAACCATGTTCTGAAGCAAAGTAAGAGAACAATGTCTCACCAAATGAATAGTCTCAATAAAGACATAATTTATAAAAATGAATCAAATATAAATTCTGAAGATAAAACTACAATAAATGAAATAAAAATTCACTGGAGGGGATGAAGAGCAGAATTTAAGAGAAAAAAGAATCAGTGACTTTGAAGATTGGTCTATCAGGATGATCTAGTCTGAGAATCTAAAGAAAAAATAAATGAAGAAAAATAAACAGAGCTTCAGGAGCTGTGGGATACCATCAAATGTACCACCTTATGCATAATGGGAGTTCTAGAAAAAAAGAGAGAAAAAGGAACAAAAATAATATTTGAGATATAATAGCCAATGTAGATTAGTATCTTTCTTAAAAATCAGATTTTGAAAGTTTTAAGCTCATTTATAGGACAAATTCAAGGGAACTATACCTAGCCTCGCTACAGTGAAACTACCAAAAAGAGACAGACAATGTTGAAAGCAGCAAGAGAGAAAGAACTAATCTCATTCAAGGTATGATCAATAAGATTAACAGCTGATTACTCACCAGAACAACGCAGGCAGAAAATGGCAGTGGGATACAATATTTACAGTGCTAATAAACCAAAAATTTGTCAACTAAAAATTTCAAATAAAAAAAACCTATTCTTCAAAAATGAAGAAGAAATTAAGATATTCCCAGATTTAAAAAACAACAAACAAAAAACTTGAGATAGTCTATTGCTTGCAGACCTGCTCCGAAAGAAAGCCAAAAGGAGTACATCAAGCTGAAATGAAAGGACACTAGAAAGTAATTTAAATTCACACAAAGAATTAAATGGCACCAGCAAAAATAGCTTCTTAAGTAAATATAAAACAGTATAAATATATTTTTTGTTTTTAAATTTTTTTATCTGATTTAAAAGACACCTACATAAATCAATTATTAATCTTTGTTAATGGGCACGTCATAGAATATAATTTGTGATAACACTCTAAAGGAGAGAGAAAATGGAGCTATAGAGGAGATACATTTTTATGTTATTGCAATTAAGTTGGTATTAACCTGAATTAGATTACTGTAAATTAAGTTGTTAATTATAATCCCTAAGACAACAACTAAAAAACTTAAAAAAAAGTAAATTAAATAAGAATATTAAAGTGTTACAATAGAAAATATCTATCTAACATAAAATAGGACAATAATGGAGGAAGAGGTGACAACAAAAATCCATAATAACTGCAGAAAACAAATAGCAATATAGTAGGTGTAGAGCCTACCTTACAACTAATTACATTATATATATATGGCTTAAATTTCAAATTAAAGGGCAGATATTAGTAGAAGGAATAAAAAGCATGATTCAAATATATGCTCTCTAGATCATGGTACAGTGAGGCCCTCTACATTCCACTTCCAGGCAGATTTCTAGGCAGTCAAAGCTCCTACTCACCTGGATGGCCTGAGCCACCCATCCTTCCTGTGCAGAGGTGTGGTGAAGCAGGGTTCTCTCCACTCTATGCTCAGGAAGATCTCCAGGCATCTGGAGCACCTGTTCACCTGGATAACCAGCTGAATCACCCCACCCTTGCTCTGAATAGATTGTAGTGTAGTAGGGCCCTCTACACTCCACACTTATGCAGATTTCCAGGCATCTGGAGCACACACTTTTCTGGAGTAGGAGGTTAGCGTCCCCACCAACATGCAGAGAGCTTGGGGCCAAGGTGCTCTTCAGCTCCATGCCTAAACACACCTCTGGGGCACTTGGTTGCTACCTACTGTGTCCCCCTCCATTCTGGTGCTTGTACTTGCCATTGGGGGATGTGTAAGCAGGACTGCCTGGTCCAGACCTGCCCATCTTGCCCCACCCTGGGATGAGCAGAAACCTCAAACCACTGTGTACTCCATGGATAAGCCCATTACTTGATGCAACAGAGAGCTTCGTCCAGTAAGCAAGGATCAAGTATATGACCATCCATATTGGCTATAGCTGTCTCTTACCTATAAGTACCATCTACAGGCCTGTAGATCAAACCACACAGCCCAATATAGAACCTGCCAACAGAATTACACGGGGATATAGAAATAAAGTCAAAAAAACCCTACTCAACAATCTCTACAGTAACATCCCCTAGGGAGTGAGGAAAGTGAAAGAAAAAACAATTCTATCTTCATTAATATATGTACAAAATTAGGAATGCCACCATCTCCAGATGAGAATAAATCAGCACGAGAATCTGGCACCATGAAAAATCTGAATGTTGTGATGCCATCTAAGGATTACACTAGCCCTCCAGCAATGACTCCTAGGAATCAGCAGTGACTCCAGTGACTCCTACTTGAGCATGGTATATAATTCCTTCATATGTTGATGAATTCAGTTCACTTGTCTTTTGCTGTGATTTTTGCAACTATATTCTCAAGTATTGAGTTCCAAAATTGAATAAGTAATATAAATCCAAACAACAGAAAAGGCCCTGGACCAAATGGATTAACAGCTTAATTCTACCAGACATACAAAGAAGAGCTATTATCAGTTCTATTAAAACTTTTCTGAAAAAAAATCGAGGAGGACAAACTCCTTTCTAACTTATTCTATGAAGCCAGCATCACCTTAACACCGAAATTTGGCAAAGACAAACAAAGAAAACTACAGGCCAATATCCTTGATGAACATAGACACGAAAATTCTCAACAAAATATTAGCGAACCAAATCCTGCAACACATCAAAAAGTTCATTCACAACAATCAACTAGGCTTTATTTCTGGGATGCGAAGTTGGTTCAACATATGCAAATCAATAAATGTGATTCACCACACAAACAGAATTAAAAACAGAAACCATATGATCATCTCAATAGACACAGAAAAGGCTTTCAGTGAAATCCATCATCTCTTCATGATAAAAACCCTCAACAAATTAGGCTTCAAAGGAACATACTTCAAAATAATAAGAGCGATCTAGGACAAACCCACAGAAAACATCATACTGAATGGGCAAAAGCTAGAAGCATTCCCCTCAAGGACAGGAACAGGACAAGTATGCCCACTCCCACCAGTCCCGTTCAACACAGTACTGGATATCCTAGCAAGGGAAATCAGTCCAGAGAAAGAAATAAAAGTCATCCAAATAGGACAAAAGGAAGTCAAATTATCTCTCTTCACTAACAATATGACGCTTTACTCAGAAAACCCTAGAAACTCCAACAAAAAGATCCTAGAATTGATAAAAATTTTCCGTAAGTTTTTAAGGTACAAAAACCAATGTACAAAAATCCATAGCATTTCTGTATACCAAAAGGATTCAAGCTGAGAGCCAAAACAAGAATGGAATCACATTTTTAATAGCCATGGAAACAAAAACTAAAATATCTAGGAATACAGTTAACCAAGGAGGTGAAAGATCCTACAAGGAGTACTCTAACAATGCTAAAACAAATCAGATGACACAAACAAATGCAAAACCATTTAATGCTCATTGATTGGAAGAATCAATAACATTGAAATGGACATACTTTCCAAAGTAATCGACAGATTTAATGCTATTCCTATCAAACTACCAGTCTCATTTTTCACAGACTTAGAAAAAACCTTTTTTGAGACTCTGTCTCAAAAAACAAAAGACACAAATAGGTTCAAAATAAATAGAAAAAGACAGACCATACAAATAGCATAAAAAGAGTGCTTGAGATAGCTTCAGTAATATCCGATAAAATAGACTTTAAGACAAAAAATGTTACTAAATACAAAGATGGACATTTTATTACAATGAAAAGATCAACTTAAGAAGATATAAAATTTGTAAACATGTTTTTACCTAACAAAGAGTTCTTAAATATATGACAAAAAACGTAAAATTGAAGGGACAATAGACAATTCAGTAACTATAATTGGAAAATTATATATGCTACTTTCAATAATGGCTCAAACAACTAACTACTGAGAATATCAGCAAGAAATCAGAAGACATAAAAAGCACTGTAAACAAACTATATGTAAAACATATCTACAAATGATATTCTCAAAATGGCCGAATATAGAATTTTCTTGAGTTGCATGTGAAACATTCTCTAGAATAGGCCATCAAAAAAGGTTCAATATATCTATAGTAATTGAAACCATACAAAGTAATTATCTGATCGCGATGGATTAAAACTGAAAATAAGAGGAAAATTTAAAAAGCCACAAATATGTTAAATGTAAACAACATACTCCTAAATAACCAATGAGTCAAATAATAAATCACAGAGGAAAGTGGAAAATATTTTGAGACTTATAGAAGTAAAAGCAACCTATGGAAAACTATAGGATGCACCCAAAGCAGTACTCAAGGGAAATTTATAGCTCTAGACACCCAAAGAGAAGGTTTCAAATTAATAACTAACTTTCATTTTAAGAAATTTGAAATACCAAATTAAATTAAGCCCAAAGCGAACCTAAGGAAAGAAGTAACAAAGATTAGCACATAAATGAATTGAAGAGAAGAGCAAAAGACAATAGAGAAAAATCAATGAAATCAGAAGTTGTTTGCAAACAACCAAATCAAATTTTTAGCAAGATTGACCTAGAAAAATTAGACAATTCGCATTACTAAAATCAGGAATAAAAAAGGGACATTACTATTAGCTCTATAAAAATGAAAAGGATTCTAAAACTGCAAACCGCTGTATGCTAACAAATTAGGTAATGTCGATGAAATGGGCAAATTCTTGGAAAGACACAGACTATCAAAACCGAATGAAGAAGAGAGAGAAAAACTCAACAGGTTTATCAAGAGATTGAATTAGTAATAAGAAACTGCCAACAACATCGAAAACCCAGGACTGGATGATTTCACCAGTGAATCCTACCAAACATTTAAAGATCCAACAGAAAATAAAACTACAGATCAATATAACTTGAGAATATATTTGCAAAAATCACAGCAAAAGACAAATGAACTGAATTCATCGGCATATGAAGGAATTATACACCATGATCAAGTGGGATTTTTCCTAGGAATCCCAGATTTTTTCAACATATACAAATTAATTAATTTGACACATCATATTAAGAGAGAGGAGGGGAAGGGCACATGACCTGGCTAATTGAAAAAATGCATTTGACAAAATACAACACCTCTATTTTTTTTTTAGTTAAAAAAACACTTAACAAACTAGAAATTATAGAAACTTCCTCAACCTTGTCAAAAATGTAGAGAAATTGTAATCCTCATACATGGCGTTATGTATAAATGTAAAATGGCACAGCCATGTGGAAATCAGTTTGGTCTTTCCTTTAAATGTTAAACATTGAGTTACCATATAAGCCAGCAATTATACTTCTAGGTATATAACCAAGAGAATTAAAAATACACATTCACACAAAAACTTGTACCTGAATCTTTGTAGTCTTATTTGTAACAGTCAAATAGCAGACACAACTCAAATGTTCATCAACTGATGATAAAACACTATGTGGTATATTCACAGAATAGAATATTACTCAGCCACACACAAAAAGAAAGTACTACCACATGCTAAAACGTGGATGTACCTTGAAAACTATGCTATGTGAAAGGAGGCACAAAAGGCTACCTATTGTCTGAGTTGACTTATATGAAACCTTCAGAATAGGCATAGAGAAAGAAATCCACAGATAAAAAGTAGATTAATGGTTGCAAGGTGTTGGTAGGTGAAACAATGGGGTGTGGCTGCTTAACATGTGTAGGATTTCTTTTTGGACTGTGAAAGTGTTTTGGAATTAGATGTTTGTCATTGTCGCAAAATCTTGTGAATATACTAAAGAACTATTGAATTGTACCCTTTAAGTTGGTCTTGATGAATGTATGTGATTTATATCTGAATACATATTTTTAAAGTATTATTAATTATGACACGTGATTGGATTTGGTAGTAAGAAAAGAAGAGGGAGAATTCTAAAGAGTAAAGAAGTGGCACATATAGAGTAGGCTTTAGCTCTGGGGTTAGATCTGGTGACCAAGGAAGGAACAGAATGTTAAAGCTCTCCCCCATCCCGGGCTCAGATCCAGACCTGTCTGGAGAGGGAACAACTATGGATAAAGGATGGTAGATAAGTTACTGAGATGTTGTAGCAGGACTTTTGTAAATTCTGCTCTTTGGGACATCAAGGAAAATTGCCTACTGGGAGTTTCGGTTTTTATAACTTGCTGTAAGGCCTCCCAACAGTCTCTCAGAGAAGCGTTCATAGGAATGTGCCTCGTCTCCAAGGGTGTCTGGGAAAGAGCTACTGACTGCTGAGCTCTGAAACAGCCACCTGAACTGCAGGAACTTAGCAAGAGGAACAGCTCAGATCCAAGAAGAGAAACCCTTTCTTTTTGTACTGTTTATCTACTGCCCTCTAATGACAGCACTTAACAACGTGACAGTTGACCAAGGATATTTACAGGGTCCATCTCTGTTATTGCAGATCTGGCAATGAAGAATGGACTTGGAAGTGGTAGACAATACAATTGATAACTGGAAGAACAGATAACAGAACAGCATACAGGTTGACTTTCCTTGGAATATGTGAATCCTTGAGCAAGAACTTCCTTAAAAGGGGGTTTGGGCAGACAGACATTGATGTGACTTACTTTATACAGATTTCATGCAGTCAAAAATGAGAACTCTTTTTAAGGCTTTGAGGAAGCACATTCAGTTTGCTTGTACTTTATTGTGCCATTGTATAAAGTGTCCCGTATTCTCAGGAGTTTGTGGGCTAAATATGCTTTATATTCAGTAGCTAGGTAATTTGGAACATTGGCTTCATTCAAGTAGCTTAAGTCATCAGTTGCCCAGCTATTGTTTTCTTAATATAGTTATTATAAACCAATTCATATGTAATTCATAGAATCAAATGTTTTTGATTCTGCTTCCCTTTATTTCACTTACACCTGTTTAATTAAACAGTCTCATTGTGGTTATCTCCTGGGCCCTGCTTCAGGGAGGATCTTCTACATATGCAGTTTTTTACAGAAACATGGTTGGCATTGTACATTAATTATCTTATGCCTAATAATGAAATTAATGACAGTAAATACCATCTAACATTCCTATGGTGTTCAACGTTTGCCAGCCATTTTCATGTACATTACTCCATTAGTAAGACCAGAATGAAAATATAATTTTAATTGTATTAAAAACTTATTTTGAGTTCCTTTTTTGCCACATATTCATTTTTTAAAGTTGTTCAAATAGTTTATTCAATAATTCTCATTTTTATCAGGTGTGGAATAGTTATAATAATACCTGCCTACATATAATACAAGGATAAATAGGATTCTAAAGTGTTTTACAAATATGGGTTACTATGGTTGTCATTATTCCAATAGAGAATATTTTACAAAGTGAAAATGGAAGTATTTCTATGTAAGTCTGATACGGTTAGACTTGGTGTCCCCACCCAAATTTCATCTTGAATTGTCCCCATAATCCCCACGTGTCAAGGGAGAGACCAGGTGGAGCTAAACTGATATGTCCTCCTCCCAGCAATGAATGAGAGATATCTATCCCCACAGCATCAATAATACTTAATATTATCAAAATTTCCAATTGGTCACAATCTGACGGGTGAAAAAATCTATCTTATCTCTTGTTTGTTTTCCCTGATTACTAATAAGTCTGCCTACATTTTTTTTTTTTTTTTTTTTTTTTTGAGACGGAGTCTTGCTCTGTCTCCCAGGCTGGAGTGCAATGGCGCGATCTCAGCTCACTGCAAGCTCCGCCTCCCGGGTTCACGCCATTCTCCTGCCTCAGCCTCCCAAGTACCTGGGACTACAGGCGCCTGCCACCACACCCGGCTAATTTTTTGTATTTTCAGTAGAGACAGGGTTTCATCACCGCGTTAGCCAGGACGGTCTCGATCTCCTGACCTCATAATCCGCCCGCCTCAGACTCCCAAAGTGCTGGGATTACAGGCGTGAGCCACCGCGCCCGGCCAAGTCTGCCTACTTTTCATGTGTTTCTTCTTCTGTAAATTTCCTGTTGATAATGTTTGTTAATTTTCTATGGGAAAAATTTACTTTTTCCTAAAAACTGCAAGGATTCTTATGTCCTATATTACTACACAAGAAAACTCTGACCATAGTAAGCATTGTAATAAGGAAAATTGTATAAGCAGAAGAAGCTGTAGCCATAGAGTTCCAGTCCAATTATTTTGCTTTTAAATTTGAGGAAATTAAGGCTAAAAGAAGGAAGATGGGTTCCTACATGACACAAGATGAGTTGAGGGTCAGTGTCTGGTATAGAAGCTGGATTTCTGAATGCTTGTCCAGCAAATTGTGCAGAAAATTTTGATTCAGAATTAGGTATAAACTTATTTCTAGATTACATTTAGTAGCCTAATATCAAAGCAATGAAAGGATTGCCACACAAAAATTTTAAATTTGCAAAATTACCTGATTTGGAAGGCAGGGCATGTAAAATATTTCCTGACATTAAAATAAACTACAAAAGAGATAAAGATCAAATGACTTTACAGAGTCTGTTTCTAATGGTTCGAAGTACTTAATCAAGTTCCAACCTGATGTCTTATCCATTTAAATGGCCATTTTTTTTCTATTATTTTAAAAGCAGAGAAAGGTAAATTAAAAGAGACTGTAGGGCTATCTAAATTTTCTCATACTTCATAGAGGTTAAAATAACCCTTAACCTAGAAGGATAAAGCACTGAATTAAAAGTAGTTTATACAAAGGACAAATATTCTCTACAGACCCCAATTTCTTTTGAAAGTTGCCGACTTACCTAAAATTTCTTCCTAGCAGCATTGTTTATCTATACTTTAAAATAACTTTCGGTAGAGAATAGAAAGTTGCTTAATATCCTTATCATTAGCTTGTGCCATAAGTTGCACATTGTTTTTGTCTCTTTTATTAAATTTAAAAGTTAGCTTTAAGTTAAGGTAGTTGTAAAACTAAAAGGCAATCAAGTAAATTAATGCATCCCATGATGCATTCATTCTAATGAATCAAGTTCTAATTGTCAAGTTACTATATAGTTTCCATGCAGAATAAATTAGAGAACATATAGCCATCCTCTTAAATCACTTCAAGGACTCACATAGTGTCTTTAGTAGAGATATTTTGACATTTCAGGACCATTATCAATATTGGATAATGATGACAATGAAAACAATAGTGCTTGTTTTTGAGGGTTATCAATGTGCATAACACTTGTGCATGGCACTGAAAACTTACAACAATCAGTAAACTTCATACTGTCTTTAGTACTGTCCTATAGCTGAGAAAGCCAAAACTTAGAATAGAAAATCAACTTGCTCACGGTTGCACAGCAAATAAAGCTAAAAAATAGAAAAGGATTCTCAGTCACTCCTTTGAATTCTGTAACTTATCTGATTCAGTATTTTTAATATCAAATATCAAAATATTTATTTGGTGTTCCCTACTTCACAGATTTCCTCACTCCTCTCCTTTTCCCCAATCTTCCATGACAAAGACACAGTTAGTGAGAATGCATATTAAACAAGTTAAACCCTTTATATTTAACAAACTAATCTCTTCCATAAAGACATACTATAGAAAATAAATGCCTTACCTGATAGTAAATTGAAACGAAATTTTCAAGTATTGATAAAGAGTCATTAGACTGTCATAAAGATATAGTGCACCCTGATGGGATGTTGGTATAAATTGGTAAGATTATATTGAAAAAAAAAAACTACTGAATGATAATTTCCTTGGTAAAGATTGTTTTTAGCTCTAAATAATGGAAAACACTATGGCTTAAACATATAGGAATTTTTTCTCATATAAAAAGTTGAGTTGTGAGTTGTTATTGGAGTTGATTCACACCTCTCTGCAATGGTCTTGGCCTTTTCTTCGTGGTTACAAGTGAATAGGGATGCTCCCATGTTTCTATCCATATTTAAGCAGGAAAAAGGAGAATCAGTTGTTTGTTTGCTTTCCTTCAGAAGGCAAGAAAAGCTTTCTCAAAATCTCTCAGATAAACTTGTTACTTGGACAGCAAGGGAATGTCAAAATTGAGAAGCCCATTGTTCTAACATTGCCAAATACAAAGGACTGCACCAAGACCAACCAGAGTTTTATTAATCAGGAAGAAGTGAGAGGATTAATGTCTTTTAGAAAGTTCTGTTTTTCAGAATGGTGTGCCCATATGACAGCAAAAAAGTGTTATGATTTGTAATACTTAAAGTCAGAAGCAAGATGCATGTTCTAATGTTATAAATAGTGCATTGTTGTAGCATGGTATAGCTGTTGGAGTCAGACACTCTTGAACTGTATCACCTTTGTCAATCTAATCAATCTCTCAGAACCATAGTTTTTATAGAAATAAAAGTATTTGGCTCACAAAATATAGTATGAATCAGGTAGGCAACTATCTATAACATTCCTGCATCTGTAACATGCTTGTGTTAGTTACTGACAGTCTTCAAAATGGAATAAAGTCTCAGAACAATAAATGACTTTTGGTGCCTACCTAAAAGTTACATATGAATATTCCCAGTATTTGGTGACTGTCCTCCCAGAAGGACCCACAGGAACTCATGCTCCTTTATTATTTAGCTTTACTTTCTAGTAGGGCCTTATACTTGTCTTCATCCAGCTGGTAAGAGGAAAAAGATATAAAAAATGTTTCCCTAAAAGTGATACAAGTTTTTTCTTTCACAATAGGTTAGATAGATGGATGCATCTAGATGCAGGAAGACTGGGAAATGTAATCCCTGCTAGATAGCTACCCCAGTAACAAGTCTATATTCAGGAAGAGGGAGTATACATTGTGGTTGCAGATGATAATCTCTTCTACAATGCTCCTTAATCATTAATATTTTTCAACATATCTGCTTTCTAAGAGAACTAGATTCTAATTAAAGCAAGCACTGTGAAGTCAGTAAGGAGTACAGCTTGAGTCATATGGGTAGCTGATGAATGTTTACAGGAAGGAAGCATAATATAGTAGCTTCATGGACTCTGAAGCAAGATTGCCTGCATTCAAATTCTTACTTCACCAATTCCTAGTTGTGTGATTTTGGGTTAGTTACTTAACCTTGCTTTCTTTCTCTATGAAAATGGGAATAGTAAAATGAATTACCTATGCTATACAGGTTATTTTGATGATTAATTATTAATAGAATTAAAGCTTTTAGGACAATATTTATACTGAATACAGTATAAATTCATACAGTATTTATATCATATAGTATTTACATTGAATTTGGTTTGATTTCTGGAATATATATATTTAGATATATACATATCATGAAATATTTAATGAACATCAACAAATGCAAGAGATAATCAGAGGCATGTCAAATAGTATTTGCCTAAATGTGCTTACAAAGACAATGGGGACACTGAAAATCTTCGGATAGGTGGAACTATACTCAGTATATTATGGAATTGTGCCTGCTAGCCTGAAGAGGTCAGGAAAGTCTATGTGGAGCAGGTGATTTGTAATATAATAGTATGCAACAGACAGGCATGGAGAGGTGCTTAGGTGTGAGACCTGGTGCCAATGATGTCTTGAACAGGAAAGGAGTCTGTAGACACAGTTTGAAGATGTCAGTATCTCACTTCAATGCCTCTCTTAAGGAGAAAATATTGTTGGTTAGGATTTGGGTCATATATGGTGGAAGTGATAGATGACAAAGAAGCTTTCCCTAGAGATACTTCCTTTTTCACTACACTCATCCATCAAAGGAAAATAATGATGATGGTGGTGATGGTGTAAGGTTGATAAATTTGTTCTTAGAACAGAAAGAATTCAAGACAACCTGTAATTGAGAACTAGAGACAGGCATAAAGAAGAACTGAGAATCTAGATTTTGAAATCTGAAGTGAGTGCTAAATGAAAATCTTTAAAATATCTTATAATTAATTATTCAAATTTTAGTAACTTCATCATCCACAATGAATATTGAGCAATATAAGTATGTGACATGTAGTAATCACATGAACAAATCTAGCTTTTTTTCTTATTTTCTAACGTTTCACAGAATTCTACTTTTATGTTGGTAAGGAAATTAAGTTCAATATGTTGCCTTCTTCTAAATAATTAGCTATTACACACTAACATGGGACAAGAAGTAACTATAATATTAAAATGGCCCCAGAGTCTGGAGTCAGAAAAATCTGGTTTTGTATCTTGAGTTGACTAAATTACATGTGCTATGGATTTGCAGATGCTATTTAGGAATGCTCTATCCTAAAACTATCAGAAGCACTTTCTAAAAATGTGTTTAATTAAAATGAAAATGTATTAATTAACATAACATGTTCAAATAGAGGATGAAAAGGTAATCCAGAAGCAAAATGTTCCAGATTCTCTTGATTTAATATTTTGCCATCTTCCCAGAGTTTTTATTTTTTTTTGTCTTCAGATTATCTCTCCCTCACCATCATAAAATGCATGCACCATCTCAAGGCTTTCATTCTCACACAGCAATGCAAAAAGCTGGAAAAAAGGCTGCCTTTTCCTTGGTTCCCTTTTAAGAACAAATACAAGTTTCCAAAAATAAAACTAACCCCAGAACACTTTACACAATGTCTCATGGCTAAATTGCATTCCTTGTGCATAGTCACTAGCAAAGGAAATGATACCACGATTGTTGAAGACAGGCTTAGTGTCCCCTGAAACACACAGTTACTGGATAGGTGAACAATTTGGGGGTGCTGTTAACATAGTAAAGGAAGGAGGTGGCTTTCGGGAGACAACATTTGGAGATTGCCAGAAACTTTTTGACCTATAATACTCTCAGCTACAAAAATGTAACTATTATAGGTACTTTAGATGAGACTATGGTGATAAAAATATCTGGAACTTTTTATAATTTTCACTTCTGATAATCCAAGGGAAAAGGAGAAAAAAAAGTCATACTATTTTATACCTCTCACCCAACCTAGACCTGTAAGTACTTTATTCAAAATGCTTTCAAAGGAAAGCCAGTCTCCACATTTTGCTTTACCTCCTAGGGAAAACATGTGCCTTTATTCATCTAAATGTGAGGAACAGGAAAAGGAGAAACATACAACAGGCTTCCTGTCTAAGTTCAAATTCAGTGTGTAAGTGTTTTAGGTTCAGAGAACAACTTGAGTAATACCTGCAAAGTAAGTTCTCTAGGTAAAATACAGCTCCTAGCCAGGAAGCAGGCCATGTGGAAGAAGGCAGCGGAAGCCACTGCTACTACTTCTGTGAGCAATATCACTGGGCTTGAGCAATCTTTCTTTTGAAAAATTTAGATAATGATACTCTTAATTCTAGTGTTTTAAAGTATGCATCTGGAGAGGTGTTTTTCTTTTTTTGCCCTCATTTAACAAACTCTTAATTGTCCTCTCCAGTGGCAGCAGCAGTATATACCAGCTTTTTCTGATGAAAATAGAAACTGTTTAGAAATTCTTCTGGGTAATATTGAGGAATTTATACACATTTTGGATCCTGGCACCTGTTCTGTTCTTATAGTGGTGGGTTTTGTAATTTGGAATGAATTCTAGGTGTTAGACCTGCCTTAATGGTCTGAAGGGACAGAAAAGATTGACCTATAAACTGGAAAGTGTTTCACATTAGTTGATACCTCTGTTTATCCCTGTTTCTGTTTTTAGGCCTGGTAAAATCCATGCCTAGGGCTAGGTAGCAATATGTTACTTGAAGAGCACTACAAAGACCTGCGTGTGTTTAGATCAATAGTTTATTTTCTAAATCCTGCTGATTTGGATGTTTTGTGGTTTGAGGGAAACTCTGAATATTTGTCAGGTTATCATTTCGACAAATTCTTATTGTTTTGGAAACTTGGAAAATGTCCATAAATTCCATTGACCATCATGACAAGAAAAAGAAAAAACATCCGAACCTGAAAGGATGTAGAGCATAAATAAAAACAAGTAAAATGCAAGCCATCATTTGAATGCATTCTATGTACGAAGTGTTTTGCTTTCATGTGGATTAAATACACCCCTGCTTGCTCATCCCCATGGAGCTATCTTTGACTTGGAGCCCTACCTCTTCACACATCATTCTGATTCCTTCTCTGAAATGTATCTTTTGTATACCTTGTCCCTCAAAGTTAGGATCTCTTAGAAATATAAAGTGACATATTACATTAGTTCATTAAAGCTATAAAATAAATGTGTATTAATATATTACTGTCACTTGCTGAAGCAGATAGAACCACCCACCCAAAATGTGGTTTCAATGTTAGGACAGAAGCTACCATAAACATACAAAGAGGGTATAAAAAGGATTATTGCTTTCATCATTAAAGTCTCTGGGGAAAGCAGGCTTCTCAAGCAGGCTCGAAATGGTGCAAGAGAGCAAGGAAAGGAGACAGGCTTGAGTTTTCACTGTGGTTTATGAGTAGGAGCTTACATGGTTGGAATCTCCCACTAGTGCCAAAGAAGATGGCATCTGGGTTTTCTTATCAGCTTGTCACATGTGAGGCACAAAAAGGAGAAGGAGGAGTAAGACTTAAAAGCTGTTAGCAGTTAAATATCAAAAACTGTAGTCAGATTTCTCATTACATAATATAAACATGGAAAGAGACTGGTTCTCTTTCTTAGTAACACTAAATGGTGAATGAATAAATGAATAAATGCAGTCAATTACCATTATTCATGATAGTTATGTTCTATAAAGTCACCACAAACACTGAGTTAGTGAATATTGAACCATTGCTCCTAGGGGAAATATAGGGTTAGGTTCCTTTGAGCTTCTGGCCACAACATATACAACAGCTAAGAAACACACAAACTTACTTTATTTGTGTTTCTGTTTAATGACGCCTTATTTAACACATAGTGTTGATTCATTCACTTTGGACTCATGACTAGCACTCTAACTCATGCCTGAATGAGGCTTACCTAACTCACATCCTTTCTCTATAAGGCACATTGCAGCCTTCTTGCATGTAGAAACAGTAGACAGCCCTTCAGCATTACGCTTGGGGGCCATTTTAAACAGCAGTATCACTAATATAAAGCACAAAATTGTGAAACGTCACATTAAATAGAACAGAAAAGGATACTCGTATACTGTAGTATACTGTATAATAGTGGAAGCAAGAAGGCAGAGTATTGCTTTATTTGACCTCAGCTGGGAATGTGCAAGTCTGGCAACAAATTTTCATTGCTCTGAGCATGTCTACAAATGACCACAAAAGTGCCCCAAGTATTGATTTTAGGATTACAAATAAATTTTAGCAAGTAGGCAAATTTGAAGATATGAAATCTGTAAATAATGAAGATTGATTTTTAAATGAGTTAATGCTTTTTAGTCAAACCATTTTGGAGAAAGTGCCTCCATTCCTTCTTCTTTCCATTTGTTGCTGCTGTTATTTTTACTTCACTCAAGAACTTTTAATAATTCTAAGCAAGATGTTTAGTAGCATCACTTTAAACTGGTGGAAAAAGGGGTTTTTAGTAGTTTCTGTGTGAAACCACTGAAATCATCCTGTAGGTGACTGGCAATTTAACCAATAATGAGATATAGTGCAGATCTTGGGTAACAATAGAATATAACAGTAGAAACACAAGCTCCAGAATCAGAAATATTAGATTTATATCACAGACCCACTACTTATATGCTGTGTAATTTTAGTCAAGTTCTTTAACATCTTTTATCTTCAGTTTTCTCTTTGTAAAATGGATATAATAATAGTACTGACAATGTACTGTTGTTATGGGGATTAACTGAGATAAATTAACACACTATATAAACGTGGCCTATCACAGAAAGGATTTTTTTTTTTTTTTTTTTTTGAGACAGAGTCTTGCTCTGTCACGCAGACTGAAATGCAGTGGCATGATCTCGGCTTACTGGAAGCTCTACCTCCCAGGTTCAAGCGATTCTCCTGCCTCGGCCTCCCAAGTAGCTGGGATTACAGGCGCCTGCCACCACGCCTGGAAAATTTTTGTAGTTTTAGTAGAAACAGGGTTTCGCTATGTTGGCCAGGCTGGTCTTGAACTCCTGACCTCAGGTATCGGCCCACCTCGGCCTCCCAAAGTGCTGGCGTGAGCCACTGCGCCCGGCTAATGTTCAATATTTTTAAACTACACTTATTTAAGATACCTATTCCATTTGCGTTTTCTTGGTGCAATTATTATTGGTATTACTTTTCACACTGTCCTGTTTGAAATGACTAATTTTAGGATCGCTTTGCTACAGAAAAATCTGGAAAGCGTTATTTGTGCTCTATGGGAATAGTGCCATAGTTAATTGTTAAGTAAGTCTTGACCGTGGCGTAGAGAACAGAAAGCACATTTGCAGCGTTTTGACATACTGAGACTAAATAACTTGCGGTAAATCAAGATTTTTCATCCTTTATCCCAATTTAAATTATTTTTCTCTTGTCACGCTAGTGAATTCTAAGCCCCATGGAAACTAGGATTTTCCTGTGCAAGCTGGGATGAATAGCCACTTGAAAGAAAATACAGTTGCTGTGACTAGATTTTTAATTTACTGTGTCAGATTTCTAGGACTTGATTACAATTGAAAACTGCTTGTGATCTTTCGATCAAACACAACCATTTTGTAATTAGTTCTTCTGGAACGAGAAGCAGTATTGGGTATCAGAAGAGATCTTGCAGTTGACAAAAGTAAGATTTTGTTCACTGAGTGTGTTTTAAGTGTCATTATGGCCCCCTATTAGAGTAAGGAAAAATGGGAGAAAAATAATGAATGGATTCTTGGCCAATGTATCTATTCTCTGAATGTATAATGTATAATGGAAATAGACATGTTTAGTAGTTGACATAGCCTCACATAGGATCTCTGGGCTGTGGAGCAAAAGTTACTATAGGAGCAAAGTCCACATGGAAGCCTCTTACTCCTGTCCTTTTCTCCCAAGCCAAGAAAGTACAATAAAAACACTAAGTTATCCAAGGAAGATGTCAGAAATTAATGCCACTCATATAGATCTAAAGGATGTGGGTGTGGTGATGTTCATCATACCTGCATTCAATTTACCAGTCTGACTCTTGCAAAAACTACATGGATCCTGGAGAAGGATAGTAGATTACTACAAATTCAATCAAGTAATGGCCTTAATTATAGTCCCCATGCAAAATGTGCTATCTTTATTTTTTCTTCATCTTTTAAGTTCAGGGTTACATGTGCGGGATGTGCAGGTTTGTTACGTAGGTAAACATGTGCCATGGTGGTTTGCTTGCACAGATCAACCCATCAATTAGGTATTAAACCCAGTATCCATTAGCTATTCTTTCTGATGCTCTCCCTTCCCTGGCCCCCATCCCTGACAGGTCCCAGTGTGTGTTGTTCTGTCCCATGTGTCCATGTGGTCTCATCAATCAGCTCCCACTTATAAGTGAGAACTTGCGGTATTTTGTTTTCTGTTCCTGTGTTACTTTGCTGAGGATAATGGCTTCCAGCTCCATCCATGTCCCTGCAAAGGACATGATCTCATTCCTTTTTATGGCTGCGTAGTGTTCCATGGTGTATACATATGTACCACATTTTCTTTACCCAGCCTAGGCAATTGGGTTGATTCCATATCTTTGCTACTATGAATGGTGTTGCAATGAACATACACATGCATGTATCTTTATAATTGAATGATTTAGATTCCTTTGGATATATACCCAGTAATGGGATTGCTGGGTCAAATGGTATTTCTTGTTCTAGATCTTCGAGGAATCACCACACTGTCTTACACAATGGTTGAACAAATTTACACTCCCTTAGTGCATAAGTGTTCCCGTTTCTCTGCAACCTCATCAGCATCTGTAGTTTCTTGACTTTTTTATAATAGCCATTCTTACTGGCATGAGATTGCATCTCATTGTGGTTTTGATTTACATTTCTCTAATGATCAGTGATGTTGAGCTTTTTTTCATGTTTGCTGGCTGCATGAATGTCTTCTTTTGAGAAGTGTCTGTTCATGTACTTTGCCCACTTTTTTAAGGTTTTTTTTTTCTTATAAATTTGTTTAAGTTCCTTGTAGACTCTGTATACCTTTGTCAGATGGATAAATTGCAAACATTTTCTTGCATTCTATAGGTTGTCTGTTCACTCTGATCATGGTTTCTTTGGCTGTGCAGAAGTTCTTTAGTTTAATTAGATCCCATTTGTCAATTGTGGTATTTGTTGCCATTGCTTTTGGTGTTTTAATCATGAAATATTTGTCCATGGCTATGTCCTGAATGATATTGCCTAGATTTTCTTCTAGTGTTTTTATAGTTTTGGGTTTTATATTTAAGTTTTTAATCCATCTTGAGTTAATTTTTGTATAAGGTATAAAGAAGGGGTCCGTTTTCAATTTTCTGCACATGGCTAGCCAGTTCTCCCAGATTTTTTTTCTAGGGTTTTTATAGTGTTGGGTTTTACATTTAAGTCTTTAATCCATATTGAGTTAATTTTTGTATAAGGTATAAGGAAGGGGTTCAGTTTCAGTTTTCTGCACATGGCTGGCCGGTTCTGCCAGATTTTCTTTTAAGGTTTTTATAGTTTTGGGTTTTACATTTAAGTCTTTAAACCATATTGAGTTAATTTTTTGTATAAGGTGTATGGAAGAGGTCCAGTTTCAATTTTCTGCATATGGCTAGCCACTTCTCCCAGTACCATTTATTAAATAGAAAATCTTTTTCCTGTTACTTGTTTTAGTCAGGTTTGCTGAAAATCCAGATGGTTGTAGGTGTGCAGTCTTATTTGTGAGTTCTTTATTCTGTTCCGTTAGGTTATGTGTCTGTTTTTTATCAGTACCATGCTGTTTTGTTTACTGTAGCCCTGTAGTGTAGTTTGAAGTTGGGTAGCATGATGTCTCCAGCTTTGTTCTTTTTGCTTAGGATTATCTTGGCTATCCAGGCTCTTTTTTGGTTCCATATGAATTTTACAATAGTTGTTTCTAATTCTGTGAAGTATATCAGTGGTAGTTTAATGGAAATAGCACTAAATCTATAAGTCACTTTGGGCAGTATGGCCATTTTCATAATATTGATTCTTCCTATCCATGAGCATGGAAAGTTTTTTCATTTGTTTGTGTCCTCTCTTATTTCCTTGGCAGTGGTTTGTAGTTCACCTAGAACAGTTCCTTCACTTCTCTTGTTAGCTGTATTCCTAGGTATTTTATGCTTTTTGCAGCAGTTGTGAATGAGAGTTCATTCATGATGTGGCTCTCTGCTTGTCTATTGTTGGTGTATAGGAATGCTAGCGATTTTTGCACATTGATTTTCTATCCTGAGACTTTGCTGAAGTTGCTTATCAGTTTAAGAAGCATTTGGGCTGAGACCATGGGGTTTTCTAGATATAGGATCATGTCATCTGCAACAAATATGCTATCATGGATTGAGCCTAGTAACAGCCTTAGGCATATGGTATGCTATTTTTGACTTCATGAATGTATTTTTTCCTCCTCTGTCAGAAAAAAAAAGAAACATAAGTAATTTGTATTCACATGGAATTGACAATAGTATACATTCACAGTTTTGCCCTAGAGCTATAACTCTGTTACCCTCCTTCATAATACAGTCTAAGGAGGCTGAGTCTCTCTAGGTATCCTGTAGAACAAAACATGCATTCACTTTATTGATTAATCAGATGGAATTTGCAGGAGGTGCTTACTATTTTGAAGGTCTTTATAAGACCCATAGCCCATCAGAGGATGGGAGACAAACCTTATGAGTTTTATTGGCCTAAAAATAGTAATGTTGTTAGCAGTCTCTGCTCAAGAGCTTGCTGGAGAATTTAAAGTGAAGGACAAATTATTGCATCTTTTACCTGCCAGAAAGTATAGTGTCTGGTAGGTTTCTTCTGTTATGCAGGCAGCATATTCTGCACCTAGGAATATTGTTTCAACTATTATCTTTGACTGAAGCCAAGAAAGTGAAAGCATTCCTCAAGAGGACCAGTTCTTGATGCAGTAGCTTGGCTATCTAAGCCAGAAGATACAGCAGATACTATAATATTAGTAATATCAGTGGTGGAAAAGAGCCTAGAACAGGTTTACGAAAAGGAGAATCATAACACAGACTGTTTGCTGTCTGCAGAGGAGAACTATATTCCTGGTAGAGGTGAAATACCTGACCCTGATGCATCAAGAGACCATGAAGTTATAACTGTCCATCATAAACTGGGTTTTGTCAGAACCAGTAGTTCATAAGCCAATTGGGTCCCGGAATAATCTATTCTAATATAAAAGTGATGCATTCAGGACTAAACATGAGTGGGACAAAGGAACAAATAAGCTACATAAGTATGCATGTAGCCCAGATTCCCATGTATTAACTTCTGTTGTAGCAGAATCTCTCCCTCAGGTTACAAAGGATGTGTAGCAATATAGATTTAGGTAATCTAGTTCCCAAAAGAGGAGCACTCCCATCACAGGACATAACAAGAGTCTCACAGACAGGTAGAAAACCAATTCATAAAATCAGTATTCATATGTCAAACAAAAACTTATATTCAAAATATATTAAAAACTCTCATAATTCAATAATTAAAATGAAAACAACCCAGTTTAATAAAAATGTTCAAAAGCCCTGAATAGGCACCTCCAAAAGAAAATATGTAAGTAGCCAAAAAGCACATGAAACCATGTTCAATTTCACTAATCTTTAGGAAAATTCAAAACAAAACCATGATAATACAACACACTAATTCAATTCATTAAAATTTGAAAAAGATGGATCATATCAAGTGTTGTTAAGGATATAGAGTGACTGGCATCCCATACACTGCTGATGGGAACATAAAATAGGCCGGGCGTGGTGGGTCACGCCTGTCATCCCAGCCCTTTGGGAGGCCAAGGCGGGCAGATCACGAGGTCAGGAGATCGAGACCATCCTGGCTAACACGATGAAACCCCATCTCTACTAAAAATAAAAAAAAATTAGCCAGGTGTGGTGGTGGGCGCCTGTAGTCCCAGCTACTCAGGAGGCTGAGGCGGGAGAATGGCATGAACCCGGGAGGCAGAGTTTGCATTGAGCCAAGATCGTGCCACTGCACTCCAGCCTGGGTGACAAAGCGAGAATGAATCTCAAAAAAAAAAAAAAAAAATTATACAAATACTCTGAGCAAGTTTTAAAAAGTCAAACATACACCTTCCATATTGTTCAGCCATCCTACTCCGAAATATTTACCTGATAGAAATGAAAACATTTGCCTGCACAAAGAATTATTTTAAAGATTCATAATAGCTTTATTTTTAATAGCCCAAAACTGTAATAACCCAAATGTTCATTAACAAGTAAATGGATTAACAGTAAAACAAAGTGTGGCCCATCTATATAATAGAGTACTACTCAGCAACAATAAAGAACCAACTCTTGATTCAGGTAATAACATACATGCTCAATATGATTACACTAGGTCAAAGAATCTATGCAAAAAAGTATATTCTGCATGATTGCAGTCTCATAAAATTCTAGAAAATGTAAACTAATCTGTAATAGAAAGTAAATTAGTAATTGCCTAGAGATGGGAAAAAAACAACGAATTTAAATTACCATGAAGAAAATGTGGGACATCATAGAAATATTTGTTATCTTGATTGTGGTGATTATTGTGTAGGTATATACTATTTCAAAACTGTTAACATTTTATATTATACTGTATTTGGGTAGTGTATTAGGCTCAGTTATTAAGTTTAAAAAATCATCAGAATATTTTTATTTCTTAACTGCCTGACACATTTTACTTTAATTTTATATGTTACTATAATTTTACTATAATTTTACTATAATTTTATATGTTACTCTTTAGAGAGAATAGAAAGATAACATTGTGTTTTCTCTGGGATGGTTAATCAAACAACTGTACTGACACTATGAAGAATTTCTTTTAACCTCACAATTCATGACTAAGAATCCTCAAATTTTAGATTAATTGGCAAATTTGGGGGAAAATGTCAGTTTTTTTTCATATATTACCTCATGTGGATCTGTTTACTCTTTTACCCTGCTGCTATGTTTTGACCTACTGAAGCAGGAATTCTGACAAATTCTATTTTGCATAGCTACATTACAAGTAAATTTCTGACATAAGAGAATTTCAATTTTGATTGGAAATTGATGAGGCATACTAGGTGGGCAATCCCTTTATAGTTTTATACATGTGATAATAGGAAAAATTCTCCATGGAAGACAAGCTCCCTAGTTCATAAATTTAAAATATCTTTCTGCTCTAATAACAGCATGCTTTTGTTGCCAGGCACTCTCATGGCCTTCATAGCATAGAATGACTTCTGGCCTTGTACCTCCTCGTCACAATGCCAAATGAGTTGGCTCTGTGTGCTACAAGAGTTCTGGAGAACTATCTATGGAAACTACAATGTAATGACTAGCAATAACTACTGTACGTATAAGGAAATGACTGCAAACCACACAGATTCATCCTGTTAAATTCAAAGATCATTTATTCAACTTTCCCATAACCAAATCACAAAAACACCTGTGGCTACTCTCAAGTCAACTGATGCAAAGAGAATTGTAATGGAAGAGGGGCCAAGTGAAGAGAGAGAACAGTGGAATCATTTGTGGCTAAAATGCCTTACTTTTGGAAATCAACATACATTTTATATATGTTTATATGTGTATATGAAAAGTATATATGTAAAGGTTCAAAAATATATATGTGTACAATGAATTATCTTAATGCTATCAATTCTCATGTACCCTGGAAAGATTTTTGTATACATTGAGAAATACATGTACAGCTGATTTTAAGAGTCCTACTGGACATAAATTCAGTCAGATCTGAACTACAAAAGGGAATAAAAAGTCTTGGGCTTGTTTATTTAAATTAAGACTTTTATTATTAAACACAAATATCTTTATTTTTTATTTGCCAATAATTTGTTTTTTATTGTTTAATTTTTTATCTTTTAGAATTTTTATTAATACTTTTGATTTACACATCATAATTGTATACATTTATGAGGTACAATGTGATGTTCTCATATATGCATAAAATGTGGACTGTTTAAATGAAGCTCATTACAACATACATCACCTCCCTTATCTATCATTTTTTATGGTGAGAAGTTTGAAATTTAGTTATTTTGAAATATACAACACGTTATAATTGACTATAGTCACCCTGCTCTGCATTGGATCTCAAGAGTTATTCCTCCTGTCTATCTGAAATTTTATACCCTTAGATCAACAACACCTCATTCCATCTCTCCCCACTGCTCAAGCCTCTGGTAACCATCATCCTATGTCCTATTTCTGTGAATTCAAATTTATTAGATTCCACATATAAGTTATATCACGCAGTACTTGCCCAGTAATCTCCCTTCTGGTATGTATCCAAAGGTACTACAATCAATATGCTGAAGAGATACCTGCACTCTCATGTTCATTGCAGCATTATTCACAACAACCAAGATCTGGAATCAACCTAAGTGTCCAGCAGTGGATAAAGAAATTGTGGTATGCATACACAATGGAATACTGTGCATTCTTAAAAATGAAGAAAATCCTGTGTCTTGTGACATGGATGAATTTGGATTTGTTTTATGTGAACCTTAAAAACTAAATTCAGGAACCTTATAATGCCCTTTTTCTCTCCAACTCCAACTCCCCCCAACCCCCCAACCCCACACTACTGTAGAGATATATTGGCTCACTTAAGACTAAGCTTTAATGAGTAAAAATTCTTATTTTTAAGCAATAAAAACTTACTTTCGTTGATTTAGGGAAAGAAATTTATAGAAAGAATTGCCAGACAGGTGGCTGAACCTGACTTACAGAACTGGTGGAAATAATAGGGATATGCAGCAGCCAGAACTAAAGGCAAAATCATGCCACAAAACCAGTGTGCACACTGCTGCTGATTAACCCTGTAGGGAGCTTGCAAAGTGGCCACATGTTGATACTTGATACCATAAGCTGCCAGTGCTGCCCCTGGAAACTCCTTGTTGTTGCTGCTGCTGCTCCGGTCACCTGCATCAAAATGTATTCTCCATGGTACATCCTCCTGCTTGTTTGCTACCTCCCAGTATCAAGTTCAGAGGTAATACATTCTAGGTTACATGCTCATGCCTTTGATGCAAGGGAAATGAATAAATGAGCATCTGGCACTTTAACATCTGTGATTAAAGACAAGCACTGCTTTTTGCCATGACTCACATGGTGAGGGATTGATTCTCCAAACATAAGAATGGTGTTCAGATTCTGGGCCACAAAAAAAAGGTGATAAATGTTCCACATAAACACATATAACCACGAAGAACACACAGGTGTTGCACTTCTGGTCAATGGGCATCTAAACATTTAGCCGATTCTTTTATTAAACAAAAAGGATAAATGCAACATAAATGTGATTCTTATGTGTAAGCATAGTTAGGGCCTGCTGCTATTTTCTACTGTCTGCCTACACTCTTACCCATAGAAGTTTTTTCATTCTTGACTTGACACAAAGTTACTCTGAGGATTAAGGCTTAAAAGGAATGTCTTGATATTTCGGTTAGTTCGATGGTATCCATTATGCACTGAATCATGTCTTCACTAAAAGTGTATGTTGAAATTCTGTGATAGGGTTTGGATTTGGGTCCCCACCCGGATCTCATGTCAAATTGTAATACCCAATGTTGGAGGAGGTGGGAGGTGATTGGATCATGCGGTGGACATCCCTCCCCACTTATAATAGTGTTCTTATAATAGTGAGTGAGTTCTTCTAATAGTGAATGAGTTCTCACAAGATCTGGTTTAACCTCTCTTCACTCTTTCTCCTCCTCCTGCCATGTTAGATATGCCTTCTTCCCTTTCACTTTCTGCCATGATTGGAAGTTTTCTGAAACCTCCTCAGCTATGCTACCTGTATAGCCTGTAGAACCACGAGCCAGTTAAACCTCTTTCCTTTATAAACTACTCAGTTTCAGGTATTTCTTATAGCAGCATGAGAATGGCCTAATATACCCTGAAATATATCCTCAAAATATGACTGTTAAGGGAGAGCCTTTAAAAAGGTGATTAAATTAAATGAGACCCTTAGGGTGAACCCTAATCTAATCTGGTTGATGTTCTCGTATGAAAAGATAATTTGGACACAGAATGATACTAGGAATATGCACACACAGAGAAAAGACCATGTGAGGACACAATGAGGCCTCACATGTTTAACATATCAGTTAAACTGTATCAGTTTAACTGAATACTTCTGAAGTGTCTCTGTGTCATTTCTGGTGGGCTATATGTTGACTGAGAAAACATCACACACTTCTCATTCACAATATCACATAGTTATGTCCAATGCCATTGGGGCAGGTCTCTCTAAAGAATCAGACACAACCTCACTATGGAAGTTCAATATTCAGGTATATGGCCAGAGAGCAAGAAGTACATTTTGGGGTGGGCATCACGTAAAAGACATGTTTTTCTTGAAGGCTTATACCAGTGGTCAGAATATAAGAGTGACAAACTTTGATTGATTGATACAATTAAGTGGGAGAATACATGTAAAGGGGCAAAAGAGCATACAGCGAAGTAGCTGATACACTTAATAGATGATGGTTTTCTAGTTCACAGGGCCAGATATCAACAATTCATAAAGTGAGTCAATAAGAATGCCTCTAAGTTTCCAGAGCTAAATAACAAAAGTAAAGGAATCAGCTCAGGGAAGCCTCAGAAACAATCGTGCCTGGGATGTGAAGCTATTTAGCACTGATTAGTAACATGGTGATTCTTTTTTCATAGCCTCTAGAAGATTTGATTCATTTTGCTATTAATCAACTTTGAAGAGTCATGATATAAGTACAGCTTTTAGTAGAATATGATATTAAAAGGGAAACCGAGAAGCTGCAAATTGAAAGGGAAAAATAACTGGACAATTGGGATCTCTTAAAGGATATCTGTAATACATTTGGGTTCCAAAGAGTCAGTCACATCTCTATTGTAGTTAAATCATCTGACAGTAATCAGGAAGCTTTATTAAAATGAAAACTGATGAAAGTGTAGCTCAGACGATTCACTGCCCCTTGTAGTAGAATAATTTGCTGAATCAATAATGAGAGCATACATGGGCCCCCTAGGACTCTTTCTAAGCAAACTCTATCCTCACTGACAGATAACACAGGAGTTTTGTTCACTGGTAATGCTGGTAGTACTTGTTGTACTACTCACTATCAAACATTGTAATGTAAAGTTAGGAGATGAGAAACATATCATAATTTATTATTAATTTCTTAAGTAAAAGTATGAAAAATTCACATTTTTAACCACAGATAATTATTTAAGAAAAGAAAGTAATTATTCTACTTTTAGTAACAGCAGAATATCCTACATCAAATTTATCTTCCCACATATAAAATAGTAAACTCTGGGAAAAATATTTAGAAAAAATTATTTTGAAGGTGCTAGAGAAAAACTAAAAACAGACAAATACTGAAAAGGAAATTACCCTTGATAGAGAAAACCTGTACTGGAGGAAAAATTGGATTCATAAGACCTTAATTTTGTTCTAAGGCATGTGGCAATTTAAAGCAATAATAATAGTAATAATAAAGAGTGTTTTGTGAACTAGTATTCCTTGTAAGGAATACTAGCAATAGCTCAAAACACATGAATAAAAGCAACTGTAATTTTCAAAATTTTAATATCTTACATGAAGTAGTAAGATATAAGAATGCATAACGCAATTTCTATAGTGACAATGAAAAGAAAAGTAATGAAGGTGTTATAAAGTCAAAAGAAAAATAAAATGGAAAACTAAAAATATTTGATGCACTCCCCAAAAAAGCAAAATGAAGGATCAACTGTAAAATAAGAAAAGAAGGGAAAAATGGAAAACACATGGCAAGATGATAGACTTAAGCCCAACCGTATACACTCCATACAAATAATAGACTACACACCCCAAATTAAAGGAAAACTAGGCTGGTTTAAAAAGCCCAAGACATTACTTTATATTACTTAGAGGATACACTTTACATATAAAGGCACACATTGATTGAAAGTAAATGGATGAAACATTCCATGCAAAAATTAGTTATAAGAAAGCTAATTGACAGTATTCACATCAATTAAATAATCTTCAACATAAGAAGTATTACCACAAAGAGAAACATTTTGTAATGCTGAAAGAAACAACTATCACGAAGACAAAAAAAAGATTAAACATGTGCATACACCTGATAACAGAGCCTCAAAATGCATGACACAGAAGCAGAGAAATGGATACATTTGCAAGTACAGGTTAATATTTTCACACTTTTATCACACAGTTGATAGAACAGTTAGACAAAAACTCATTATGATATAGAAGATATGAAGATTATTACTCACCCTGACCTAATTGACATCCATTTATAATGATATCAAAAGCTGCAGAACGAGTATGCATGATTTTTAAATGAATACCGAAAATCACCGAACTAGCTCATATGCTGACCGTAAAACAAGTCTCAATAAATTTCAGACTATTGGAGTATTACATAGTGCATCCTCTGATTATGAAATAATAGTACAATTTCTAGAAAAGTCCCCCATATTTGGAAAACAAACAACACTTTTTGGAAAGAGATATAAAAATGATCTTAGAAAATATTTTTAAACGGGTAATAATAACTACCTAATATATCAAAATTTGTGAGATGCATGTATAGCAGCAATTATAGGGATATTTGCCATTTTAAATTATTATATTAGAAAAGAAAAAGGTTTTAAAATCAGTGATCTAAATGTCTACCTTAAGAATCTAAAATATACCCAGTAAATTGAATCCAAAATAAGTAGAAAAACAAAATTAGAAAAAGCAGCAACCAATGAAATAAAAAAAAAAACAGACACTAGAGAACAATTTTAAACCCAAAATACCTACTGGGTACAATATCTAATATGTGGGTGATGGGTACACTAGAAGCTCAACTCTCACCATTATGCGTGTAATGTCCTTATAACAAACAAGCTCAAGTATCCTGAAGTCTAAAATTAAAAAAATAAAGGCCGGTCACGGTGGCTCACGCCTGTAAACCCAGCACTTTGGGAGGCTGAGGCGGGCAGATCACGTGGTCCGGAGAGCGAGACAATCCTGGCTAACATGGTGAAACCCCGTCTCTACTAAAAATACAAAAAGTTAGCCGGGCGTAGTGGCAGGCGCCTGTAGTCCCAGCTGCTGGGGAGGCTGAGGCAGAAGAATGGCGTGAACCTGGGAGGCGGAGCTTGCAGTGAGCCGAGATCGCGCCACTGCACTGCAGCCTGGGCAACAGAGCAAGGGCTCCATCTCAAATAAATAAATACATAAATAAAATATAAAACCCCAAATCTCCATCTTTGCAAAAATTAATAAGATTAACAAAGCCCTAGAAAGACTCATGCAGACGAAAAGAGAATAAACACAAATTATTTAACGTATCAGACAGAGGAGAGAATATCATTAAAGAAATTATAAAGCTTAAAATGATAATATATTATAAAAAACTTGTTACGAATGTATTAAACAATTTATATTAAATGGAGAAATTCTTTGAGAAATATAACTTGCCAAATTGAAATTGGATGGAATAGAAAAAAATGAATAGCCCTACATCCCATAGAGGAATTAATTCATTATCAAAAACAATTCACAAAGTCAATTTCAAACTGTTCACTGGTGAATTATATCAAGATTTAAAGATAAAATAGTACCAGTTTTACCCAACCTCATTTGGCAAAGTTATGCAGAGAACACTCCTTGCCTACTTTATGAGGCCTGAATGAACTTGATGCAAAAATCTGACCAAAACATTGCAGTAAAAGAAAAACCTCAGTCTAATATCTCTAATTAGCAGAGATACAGTAAGCATCAACAAATTACCAAATTGAATTTATCAATATACAAAAATGATAATACAGATTTGATTAAATGATCTTTTTATCCTAGGAATGAAAAGTCGGTTTTACATTTAAAAATCAATCACTATAACTCATATTAACAAAATAAAGTATGAATAACATATAGCTATACCAAGAGCTGCAGAGAAGGCATTTTATAAAATTTATCACTCATCAATAATAAAGTTTTTCAGCAAAATTGTAATAGAAGAGAACGTCCTAAATTTTGTAAATGACATCTGGAAACTGTAGCTACCGTCATCCTTTACTCTTTAATCATTACTTACTTAATCCTAGAGATCAGAAATAAGAATGTCCACCACAAAATGTTATTGTGTTGTTCTGGTAACCTTACCCATCACTGAACTGATGGGAGTGAAGAACAGATTGGAAAGAAGGAAATAAAACAGAAAATATTTATAAATAACATAATTATACTCCCCTCACAGAAAAAAACATACTTGGATACATCGATTTAGCAAAATTGAAGGTCAATATACAAAAAGCAATATCATTTTCATATGATTACAGGAAACAATTGGAAAATAAAAAAATTTTTAAAGCCCATCTACTATAATATCAACACCACAAAGTACTTAGTAATAAATGTAACAAAAATTAAGCAATACTTCTATGCTGAAAGTGAGAAAATATAGGTGAAGGGAATGAAAAGAAGCCTAAATAAGGGAAGAAGTATTTAACCATTATGGATGAAAGACAATACTCAGTATAAGGTATATACATTCTCCTTAAAATGATTTATAGATTAAATGCAATTTCAGATATAATCAAAGTAGTATTTTAAAATAAAATTAAGAAGCTAATTCTTACATTTACCTGGAAATGTACAAACAGCTAAACCATCAAACTTGACAAAGAATAATGTCACATTTACATTACTTGATTTTAAGATTACTATAAAGTGACAGTAATCAAGATGACAATATGTTGTTGATATAATGATGGCAAATAGATCAATGGAACAAAACAGGATCAACAGAAGTTGATCCACATGTACACAGTTGAACCGAAAAGTGACAAAGGTAAAAAGTTATTCAGTGGAGAATGAAATAATTTTCAACAAATGTTGGTAAAACAATGGGGTAATTATATGGAAAAAAAGAAACACGTACCTCTGCTTCATCCCATATAGAAAAATTCATTTGATATGTATCGTAGACCTAAACTTAAAAGCTAAACTCTAAAGGTCATTGAACAACAACAACAACAAATATATATTTTTATATATATAAATATATATATAAATATATATTTATATATATTTATTTATATATGACTTGGGAGTAGGCAAAGATTTTTAAGCAGTACTCAGAAGTAACTACAGAAGAAAAATTGGAAATTAGACTTCATCAAAGTTAAAAACATATGTCCATCAAAGGATATCATTAAAAATTGAAAAGGCAAGACACATGCTAGAAAAATATATATGCAAAACATATATTTTTCATAAGCTCTTGTATCCAGACTATAAAAAGAACTGAAACTCAACAATAAAAAATCAAATAACCCAGCAAAAAAACAGGTAAAGACTGGAAGAAATATTGCACAAAAGAACATATTCAAATGGCCAACTCACACATAAGAAGGCACTCATCCATATTTTTCATCAAGAAAGTAAGATTTAGTAAAATGAAAATTAAAACCACATTAAGTAATAGTGTATACCCACTAGACTAGCCAAAATTAGAAAATGAGGCAGCCTAACAATTTCACTTTTATGGATTTACTAGAGAGAAATAAAAGTGTTTATTTACAAATTCACTTACAAATCCCCAAACGGATGTGTTGGTTTCTTTTGTGTCAACTTGACTGGGCCATGGCGTGCCCAGGTATTTGGTTAAACAATATCCTGGGTGTGTCTATGATGGTGTTTTTAGATGAGACTTGCATTTGAATCTGTAGACTAAATAAAGTAGATTGCCCTCTCTAATGTAGGAAGGCCATCATATAATCCATTGATGGTCTGAATAGAACAAAAGTATCAGAAAGGGAATACTCACTCTCTGCCTGCCTTTATATTCAAGTTGGGAGATCAGTCTTCTACCACTGGATTTGTACTCAAACTGGAGCTTACATAATCAGCTCTCCTGATTCTCGGGCCTTTGGACTTAAGACTGGAACTATGCCAGTCTTGAGTCACTGTCACTGTCTTAGTCAGTTTGGGCTGCTATAACAAAATACCATAAACTGGGTAGCTGATAAACAAGACAAATTTATGGCTCACAGTTCTAGAAGGTAGAAGTCCAAGATCAGAGTAGCAGTAGACTTAGTGTCTGGTGGGCGCTCATTCTGTGGTTCCAAGATGGCACCTTCTACTTGTGTCCTTACTTGGTAAAGTGAGCAAGGAGCAGGACCTCTTTTTTGAGGTCACTTGTATGGTAAAATGGGCACATCCTCTTTATAAGTCGTCTCTGGGGCCTCTTTTTTTTTTTGAAACGGAGTCTTGCTCTATCGCCAGGCTGGAGTGCAATAGCGTTATCTTGGCTTGCAACATCCACTTCCCAGGTTCAAGTGATTCTCCTGCCTCAGCTTCCTGAGTAGCTGCGGCTACAGGCGTGCACCACCACGCCCAGCTAATTTTTGTATTTTTAGTAGAGATGGAGTTTCACCACATTGGCCAGGATGGTCTCAATCTCCTGACCTCGTGATCCACCCGCCTTGGGACTCCCAAAGTGTTAAGATTTGTGAGCCACTGCACCCTGCCTCTGAGGCCTCTTTGGCAAGGTCACCAATTATGTTCATAAGGGCTCCACCTTTATGACCTAATCACCTCCCGAAAGGCCCCACCTCCTGATACCATCATCTTGGGGATTAGAATTTGAATATATGAATTTTGGGGGGTTACAAACATTCAGACCATAGCAGTTATTCTCCTGGGTCTCCAGCTTGCTGACTGAAGATTGTGGAACTTCTCAGCTTCCATAACTGCATGAGATAATTGCTTATAATAAATCTATTTGTATTCTGTTGGTTCTGTTTCTCTGGAGAACCTAAACTAATACACAGAGAATATCCAAAAACATACCCATACAAGAATGGACAACTAAATAATGACATATTTATACAATGAACTATTACTCAGTAATAAAATGGAATAAAGTGCTGATATTGGCAACAATATGGATTCATTGCACATTATTGTAGTGAAAGAAATGGAACATAAATGATTACATATTGTATGATTCCATTTATATGAGGTTCTAGAAGAGATTAAACTATTGTAAAGAAAACGAGTCAGATAAAAATTGTTGCTTCTCTGGGGTTGGTGGAATTGACTGGGAAGTAGTATGAGTGAATAAGATGCTCTATATTCTGGTAGGCATGTGAGTTACACTCACAGATGTATGTGTTTGTCAGATCTCATTTAATATTTATGCATTTACTACATATATATGTTTATTTATATCATCTCCTAAACAACTGTGAAAAATTAATCAATTGCAAGACCAAAGAAAAGACAGAAACACTGAAACCAGAGAAAGAAAAGCATTCTCTCAAATAATGATATGATATAACATTTATGAAACATTGGCTTATTTAATAAGAACGCTTATTGAACCGTTACAACAACTATTTATGGTCCTCTTTTTATGAATCAAATTTTTGCATCCTCTAGTACTAGGATATGTGGGTTGTAATTTAGAATTTATACTTATTATTAACCACCATAATCTTACTGAATTCATTTTACCTTTCTTATGCTTTTATTTGTTTGTTTTTGTTTGAAATTAAAAATCAGCATTTCTCCAAGCGAATTCTATGCAATAAGAATTTCAAGAAAACGTATGAGTTACATTAGGAAAAGAGAATGGAGTGTTCTGAGATCAAATACACTTGAAGATGTTGGTCAAGGGATAAAAAATTTCAGTTAGGAAGAATAAGTTCAAGAGATCCATTGGACATAATGGTGGCTACAGTTAATAAAAATATATTGTACTCTTAAAAATTGCTAAGAGAGTAGACTTAAGTGTCCTCACCATAAAAAATAAGTAATATATTTTTTAATTAGCTTAATATTTCAAAACATGTCATACACATTAAATATATGCAATTTTATTTAATGATTTAAAAATAAATTTTAAAATGCCTTGAAGAGTTGAATAAAAGAAAACTATATTTAATTTCAATTCTTCTTAGAACCTTTAATTCAGTAATGAAAGTGGATCTACTTTATATCAGTAATGCTTATGGTACTGTGTTTATGTCAGTTTACTTAGTCTTTATTTTATAAGGCTTAAAATCATTTTGAGTAAGGTGCTTTTGTCATTTTATTTTTTAAATGTTAAAAATGAGTAAGATGAGGCAGAATGAGGTCAAATAATTGTCAATCCTTACCAGGCTAGTAAGGAGTAGAGTTGGGGTTTGAACCATTGGATTTTGGAGTCTGTGCTTGTTGCATCATGTTTCACAGATGTGCCATGAGTCAGGAAGAATGATTCCCAAGTGGGGATAAAGGAGGAAACCTTGCCAACCACTAGGAAAGAAAACTAGCATTCAACTAAAAGGTCAAAGGGGAGACATTTTTGAAAAGTTCTAGATGAATACCTGTTAAGGGCTGATAATGAACATTAAATTCAGAAAAAAATCATGAAAATATACTAAAAGCTACTGATCCAGCAGTCTGAGTTGTAGAGATACAATAGAGCATTTGGGGCTGAGATGGGGTAGTATTAGGGACTGGTTGTGATTAGGGGCATAAGAATCGGGATAGAATGAGAGTTTGGAGAATAATGGAAGACTGAGAAGGTTGGCCCTTCGGTGGTGACTGCTGAAAAGTTTGCCAAGGCATGGGGGTAATGGTTAGAGGAGCTCTGAGAGAAGTGGACAGTCCCATCTGCAGTGTGGATTCAGAATCCTGTGTAGAGAGAGATGATGGCAGCCAGTTTCCTTCAGCCAAGTGCAGTGGCAGAGGTCGGCTGCTCCCTCAGGCTCTGTCTGGATGATGGAGAGTACACAGGTAATAACATATGAGAAATATAATATTGAATGGACAGAATAAACAGAATACAAATATTTTGACTGGTGAAGCAGAAGTGGTTCAGAGGAAAAACAATAAAAATAGCTGCCTTCACTAGGGTAGTCCATTGACATTCCAATGCCTTAAGAAACAGTAGCTCGAAAGGAAATATTGTTATGATTAACTCTGAGAGAAAGCATGGCCACACGGATTTCTTAATTATTCAGAAAGAATGGGAGACAGCTTGATAAGTGAGAATGGAGAAAATTCCCAATAGAGCTAGAATTCTTGTTGGAATTCTATGGTGCCAGACGATAGAAATATAACTATTGATTATTCAAGCTTAAAGTAGTATTCATGGGAATTCTGAACTTCCCAGTACTTTGAACTGAGTTCCACATGAAAAGAACGGGAAACTAGAAGAGCTGGAGGCTTGGGCAAAGTTGTCCTGACTGTCCCACTCTTTCCAGAATCAGTTTGGGTCCACAGAGAGTGTTTCTCTCAGTCAGCTTTAGGTTATGTTCAAAATTCTTGGGGACCTGAATCAGTGTGGATATTTTCTGAGGAGCCTTTCTCGGCCTAGCTTCATCTAGAAATCTCTGAAACTCGTCTTATTTCTCCTGAGTCCTCCAGACTGGAGATTTTTATGAGGCCAATTTGAATCTTTTGAAACTCCATGTCTGTCTTAGTGCATTTGAACTGCTATAACAAAATTCCAAAGACTGAGTAGTTTATAAACAACAGAACTTCATTTCACACGATTCTGGATCCTGGAAAATCCAAGATCAAGTCTCTGGCAGATCTGGTGTGTGGTGAGAACTTACTATCTGCTTCATAGATGGCACCTTATTACTATGTTCTCATGTGCCAAAGGGGTAAATATGCTTCCTCAGGTCTCTTTTCTAAGGGACTAATTCCACTGATGAAGGTGGAGCCTCCATGACCTAATCAACTCCCAAAAGTCCCACCGCTTAATATTTTTGCATTGGGGTTTCAACATAATGAATTTTGGAGGGACACAAACATTCAGACTATAGCAGTGCATTACATTTAGATGCTCTTTATCCTGTTCCTAGCCATCAGAAACACAGGATTGGGATCTTGGATATTTTCTTATTCATTTCCTGCTTTTATATCAATATTCTAAAAACACAAAAACCCAAGAATTGTAGGAAATAGTTTGATACTGACTTTCCGAAAATTAATGCCCTAAATGTGTTTCACTGGATTTCATACCTTGTAGGAAATCTATTTTCAAAAGTGAAATATCTTCAAAATCACTTTAAACCCCTAAGCACATTTCTTCAACTAGAAGAGATGCAAATTTTCTTAAATTGGGTTCAATCTGAATGTTAGCTGAAGAGCATAGGAAACTAAAATGATCTGATTGAAATTGATGAATAACTTTTATTTTTAATCTAAGAAGGTTGATAGGAAAAGAGATGGTTTGAAAGTGAATAGAAGAAACAAGTTAAAAGGACAGGGACTGGAAAAGAAAAATATTTCATTCAGACAGGATTCTTACTAAGGAAAAGATATTGCAAGTGCATTTGAAACATACATGAAAGCAAAGTGGCCCTAGTAAAATTGAAGGGTAGAGAATTAAAGAGAAGTTATAAGGAAATGGAGGATTTTATATCATTTTTTCCCTTTTGCATTTAATGTGAAGTAAGAAAAAGGAATTACCTAGGGCATAGAGCATATTTCTTAGTGTAGATGTGGAAGAGACCATTGTTTAAAAAAAAAAATTGGAACATCCTAAGGCAAAGTAAGAATAAGTACTAAGTCCAAATAACCGTGATTCATGACTCTGAAAGGACAAGAGAATAGGAAGAACAAAGTCATGCTTTGAATTAATTGCTTTTGTGGGATCTCAGCAGCTGGATGAGTGTGCTACCTGGCTCTTTTAAAGTGGAAAATGACAACCACAAGAAAATTATCCTTAATTTGCTTATGAGAAGACATGAAATTGCAGATTGAAAATGGTGCTTTTGAATTTGGTGAGGTTACAAGGAACGTCAGGATGATGCTAAAGACAGAGAAAATAGAGAAAGGGGCAGGAAGAAACCAACTGTCATCTAGCTAAAATCACGTAATTTTGTAACTGAAAAATGCTTTAGAACATATCAACTTCAATGCCTTTATTTTGCAAATGACAGAGCTGAGTTCAAGACTCTAATCTGATTCCCCAGACTCCCGGTTCACTGGCCTATAGTCACTCTATCATTTTCCTTTCTTTCTTGTTCTGGGGTTTTTGCAGGTGCCTTGTGCAAGACGCTTAGAAATCGTTGCTGGAGGATGGGTTTTCCAAAACCTGGCTCTCAATCTTTCATGCTTTCATTCTTTGGAGCAAAATTAAATTTAACTTAAATTAATTAAAATGGAACAAACCCCAAAATTCTGTTTCTTAGTCACAATAGCCATTATTTCATGCAACTAGACACATGTGCCTAATAGTTACCATATGGGGCAGCGTAGCTAAAGAGCATTCCCACAGTTGAAGAAAATCCTACTGAAATTGAACAATGTTGTGCTAGAGACTATGGTTCCATATGTGTGGCTTTTAGTTATAACTCATACCTAAAATTTAGGTATCTTTTTTTATTTTCCAAAGCAATAAGTTCCCACCGGGAGTTAGGAAATATGAATAGTAGTTTCTTTTTCTCAACCACAAACACTGACTGGAGATGTTACCTTATATTAATCTCCTATACTCATTGTGTTTTACCTTCTTCATTGGAAATGTGAAAATAGATGATTGCTAATCTCACAGAGATATTGACAGGGACAACTAGAAAGCTTCAAATACATAATAATGATGAGATTTATTATTACTATTATGGTTAATAAAGATACCATGTTTTTAAATCCATTGTAAGACACATCGGCTTGGCTTTGCTTTTTTCCCATTTTCAGACATACAAGCTGTTTCTTGGAGTCCTAATTATTTTTCTGCAGTCCTTAACCATGTTTACAGCATCTAAGTAATGGTATGGGCCTTGTACATTTATTGTTTACATAAGTATTTACAAACTAATATTTAGATTAAGGGTAAGGGCCAAAGAGTGTTTAAAGTGAAGATATGATAGAAATCTTTGAGTGGACACACCAGGTTAAATTAAACTTGAAGAGGCTCTGGTCTCACAGTACCTTATTAATGATTTGTATTCATTTCTCAAACCACTAGTTTTAATTTTTTTTTAAAAAAAAGCACAGACAGGAATGCTCACTTTTATCCATGTAGGTAATTGCCAATCCAGCTAGCCAGTTACCTACAAAATATTGGAATAGTGAGCCCTTGATCCAAAACATTTGGAAGCTACTAGACTCTGAAAAATTGGCCTAAAGGCAGCTCTTTGGTAAAACTATAATCAGGTACTTTGAAAGGCTGGCTCTTTTTCTTCTTTTCCACTCATTCCTCTGACATACACCATCTGTCAGATCATGCTGGGTTGCTTCTGTCAACCTTCCGCACATCTTGAAAGAGAGAGCTTTTGAACGTTTTTATTTCTCATGAATTTCCTGATGAAAATGCAGAGGTTTTCTTATTGGATCACCATTACTATTTATAGAAGACTAGGAGTTAGTGTCTATCCATAGAAGTAGTAGCTCGCTTAGGCTGCCAGTACACGTGACTAATCATGGAACTATCTTACACAACAATTATTGACCTGCTTAAGTGGTCTCTCCTGGTACTTACAAAACTTAATATGCATAGGAATCACCGAGGGATCTTGTCAAAGTGCAGAATTCTGATTCAGTAGATCTGGGGTGGGATCCCAGATTCTGCATGTCTAACAATCTCCCAGGTTACATTTATGCTGCTGATTTGTGGACCATACTTTTAGTAGGAGAAATAAAAGATATTAGAATAAATGTAATTATTTGAAGTGACTCCATAGAGTGATTATAACACAAGCAAAAGCAATAATAATCACATATTTTCTCAGTTATTTGCAATATTAGTATGCATTATCTCATTTAGAACACACTATACTGTGAATTAAGACAGGTGTTGTGGCTATGTATTTCTGTGTAGCGTACTGATCCAAAATTTAGTGGCCTGAAGTAAATGACAACATTTATTTTGTTCACAGTCTGAAATTTGAACAGGGCTAAGTGTGCAGAGTTTGTCTCAGCCCCACAAGACATAATTTGGGGCAGCTCAGATGCTAAAAAATGGAATAATCTAAAGGCATACTCATTCATTTGTCTGATGGTTTATGCTAGAAGGTAGCTGGCATTGCCTTAGTTGAGGCTATAGCCAGACCATGTACAAATTGTTTTTCCATGTGGCTACTTGACTTCTCCACAACATGGCACCTGGGTTCCTTGGATGAGCGCCTCAGGAGAACCAGGAGGAAGCTCAATAACTTTTTATCAGTTAGCCTTGGATGTCACATAGATTCAGTTGTGTCATAGTCATAGACCTTTCCATATTCAAGGAAGTGAAATACAGACCATACTTCTCAATAGAAGAAGGCCAAAATTGTATTTTTAACAAGCACTTGTGCAACATTTGGCAACCTTTGAGAAATGCAGTATCACAACAGGTAATATGATCCTACTTTACTGATGAAAATAACTGAGGGTATATAAAGGTGGTCTCTCATTATAGGATTCAGTGGACAAAAGACAGTTTAGGAGTCTGTTTAAATATGTTATATAGATTTTGTGAAGTCTATAGTGGCATGCATACGTAAGACAGAATAGTGTAGTGTTTAAGGATATGGGTTTGAACTCTAGTTTCCTTATTTCCCAACTATATAACTTTGGACAAGTTGTTTAATATTTATTATCTTTGCTATCTGTGTTAGTAAAATCAGGATTTTATCTGCTTTAAACAGTTCTTGGCAGACTTAAGTGAATTAGAATTTGTAAAGCTCTAAGTCTCCTGCCTGACAGATAATAAACGCTTACGAAATGATAACATTTTTATCACCACTGTCATTCCTGCTGATATTACCTTTAAGGAAATAACAGGGCTTTTTTCTTCTTTTTCACTTAAATAAGTACATTTTTGTTTGTTTTGCCCATGCCCTTTTGTCCACTATAATTGAATAGTATCACTGCCTTACAAAATTGTGACATTGGTTATGAGGTAGCTATTGCAGGAAGGAAGACAGTGTGAGAGCTTAAATGTTTTTAGTAACATCTTATACAGATGGAGCTTCAGAGAAAAACCCCATTTTGGAAATGACTCCAAGAAGCACATCTGTGCATTCACGCCTTAAGTTAGCTTAGTTCTTGAAGGTGTGGATCATCACATGATTCCTTTATCCTGCATAGCACCTGGTGAAGGATCTGCACAGATCAGATAAGCAGTAGGTATTTATAGGTGTAGTTGATTAATTTTCAATTGCTTCTCTTTTTTTTATGAGAGGGACTACTTAGTAGTGTCTTGATAAAGAAATAAGTAACATAAAACAGATTTTCTATGATTGCTACAATCTATTTTCCCTGTTCCAGATTGGATATTCTGTCACAGTGATTATTAGATATTTTGGTTGGGTTTTGTGGTTGTAATTGTGAGCCAGTGTGTAAGAAAAGATTCAATTAGCATCAAGAGAACAGATAATGCACATGAGTGTGGAGAACTATCAAGTCTTTGCTCACAGATTCCTAACTGGTTTTCAGTTTCTTCCTGGAGCTACAGATAGCAAATTATTTAGATTCAAAGTTCTTTGAGATAAAATGGGCAATGGTGGTGTAGGGAGAATCAGTGGTGTCTGTATATATTAAAGTGTCTCATTTGATGATGGATTCACTTTGGTGTAGGTGTTCCTAATATCAGTGATTTTGCTCTGGTCTGTGTTAGATTTTTCCATTTACTTCTAAGGAAATTATTTTATTCCTGAAGAAGAAAAATAAAAATGACTTTCTCCCTCATACAAACATTCAAACATAAACTTATAATTGAAAGAGTCAAGGGAAAGAGAGAAGATACAAAAAGCAAACAATATTCTATTAACTTTTTTCACATGTGAATGTATTATAATATTAAAAAGTGTCTTTAGGCCAGGCACCTTTGTGTGAGAAGTCTCAGGATACCATCGTAATGGATTCTAAATACACAGGTGCCTGGGTACTTGATGGTATTATATTTTCCAATCTGGGAAAAGAAATTGTATCAGAAAGAAGATAGCTGTTTCTGACAAGTTTGGAGGCTATGAATGATAGATCAAGTGTTTTGCTCTTCTTACATCAGCATTTTCACTAACCTCTGGCTCAGAACAATATACTAAGGTATTATTTAATTTCTGTTCAAATCTAGATGAATAAATATAAAAATCCCTCCAAAAACAATATTGTTATTCCCCTTTTCAGCATGTCTCTGTCTATATACAGCTGGGCCAAATGTCAAGTAACACTGGTATTCTCTTACAAGTTGAGGATATTTAGAAATAGTCACTTTTACATTTTTAGTAGTTATTTATAACATTATTCCTCATTACAAATCTCTTCTGCTCTCCCTTTAAGATGGTTTCTTTCAATGTGTCATTTTGTTTGGGTTTCAATATAAACACATACGGCTTATGATTCATCTGTCTAAAAGTGTGTTCTAATGAACACAGATCCCATTGTTTTGTTAATTTGGATTACTTGAAAAAAATTTGATTTGTGAAGTGTGAAGGAACAGATTAAAAATAAATAAATAAATAAATAAATAATGTAAGCCAAATTTTCAATTCAGTACTTCTTGAAGTTTGATGACCCAGAGCATAGTAAGAACCTTTGAGAAATTCTCTCCTTTACAATGGCAACCTGGCCCTTGTCTCTGCTTTCTACTGAAACTGTTCTTGGCAAGGCCACCAATAGCTCCCAACCTGTCAAGTCCAGGGCACATTCTTTTAAGATGTCATTATTGAAATACTATTGGATTTGAAACAATTTTTTACTCTTTGACATTAAGATTTTCTATTCCATTAAGTCCTCAGACAACAAACTTCTATTCTATGTCTTACCATATCATCTCTGAACTATGTGTATCTTACCATGTATATATTATCTATACAATGTCTTACCATGTGTATTTTCATGAGTTCTTGTATGTCCACCATTAACTAGAGCTAGTTCTTAAGGCTGTCTTCTCAGACTGTTTTTCTTCTTGTTCTATACTCTCTGCTTGGATTTTTTTTTTCATCTGCTAGCATTTCAACATCCAGACACAGCTAATATCACTATCTTGACTCTAGGTATCTTGACTGTACTTCACACTTATATCCAGCTTCACAATCAACTATCTATGGAAGATCTCCACCTTAAAATATTGCAGAAATCTGAAACTCAATTAATCAAGAAATGAATAAGCATTGCCTAATTCTGAATTCTACCTCGTTCATATTTGCCTATCTCTCTGTTGATATTTCAACACCACTGTCCTTCCAATAAACCAAACTGGAAACCTTGGATACATTTTTGGCTTCTCCCATTCACATATCTCCCATACCAGATCAAATTTCAAGTTTGACTCAAATTAAATGTGGTTGACTCTAATGCATTGTGCTAAGTGTTATAAAATGATAGCAAGAAGGCTATTTTTCTTCACAGAGAAGAAAGAATTCTACATTTATACAACTTTTCGCCTCTTCTTTCCTGCATCCACCCTAGTTTAAGCCCTCAACTCTCTTACTAGGATTAGGAAAATAGCATCCGGTCCCTTTATATTCAACTTTTTCCCATGCAAAGAATATATCTGACCATGTCATTGTTCACCTTTAAGCCCCTCAATGATTTTTCATTACCTAAAAGATAAAACACAAGTTCCTGAATCAAGAGCCCAGCCTGGTCTACCTCTCCAACTTTATCTCTAAGCATCTCTCTCCCCAGTGGTCCATAAAATGTAACTACTTCTAATTCATCATATTCAACACACCATTTATCATCTTTTCTTCTTGCTCCCATTTTCTACTCTAATTTGTGTACTCTTTCTTCCCACACTCTCTCCTTCTTCTGATGGAGACCGACTCAGGCATTCTTCGATAAGATCTTTCCCAAAGCTCTCTGCCGAGACTTCACAACTATCCCTCCTTCTTCGTAGGTGCTCTTTCTCTGTATTTCTATTTGTATAACTCTATAACTATGGTTATATTTTTGTAATTGTTTCTTTATATCCATTCTTCAGTGTATTATAAGGTCTTCAAAAGTTGAGACTGTATCTTAGCCATCTTTTTATATTTGGCATCTACGGCAGTAAAGAAAATTTCATTCACTCCTTGATTTATTAATTCATGTATTCATTAAGTATTTTGTATTGAGGATAGTAAAACGATACAATAGAGTCTTTCTTTCAAAGAGCTCACAGTCCACTGGAAAATCAGGAAAGTATGTTGGTGACTCCAGTACAATGTGATAAGGTCTGTGGAATGGCACATAGAAAGCTTTGTAGTACAAAAGAAAAAGAATTAATTTTTACTGCCTTTAATGAACCTATGAAGATACAGAAATAATACAAAATAAAATGGTAGTACAGAAACAATATAAAATAAGCTAATTAAATTAATCAAAAATCTTTAATAGGTTACTGTATAATTTACCCCTTCTTCATTTAATTTTGATTTATAATCACAGTCAGTTAATAACTCAATGAAGCCATAAAATTTCAAGGTAAATAGGAGGGAAAGAGAGGGAAATGGTTAATGAATTTCCTCTATAACATTTTTTAAGTCTATATCATCATTACTGAGCTAGGAAATTGTACTATGATTTAAATCTTTTTGGAACACACATCAATTATCATTCAACTAACAACTACAAAAGGGAGCACTGTGTAGATCTGTGGCAGAAACAAGAAAGAAAAAGGCAATTTTCTAATTTCATTTAAGGCTTTTTATATATGCTGTGTGTGATAAAACATACACAAATAATTTTTTTTTTTTTGAGGCGGAGTCTCGCTCTGTCGCCCAGGCTGGAGTGCGGTGGCGCGATCTCGGCTCACTGCAACCTCCGCCTCCTGGGTTCAAACCATTCTCCTGCCTCAGCCTCCCGACTAGCTGGGACTACAGGCACCTGCCACCACGCCCGGCTAATTTTTTGTATTTTTTTAGTAGAGATGGGGTTTCGCCATGTTAGCCAGGATAGTCTCGATCTTCTGACCTCGTGATCCTCCCGCCTCCGCCTCCCAAAGTGCTGGGATTACAGGCGTGAGCCACCGCGCCCAGCCAATTTTTTTTTAACTTTTATTTTAGCTTCAGGGGAACACATGCTGGTTTATTATTTAGGTAAATTGCTTGTCACAGGGGTTTGATGTACAGATTATTTTGTCACCCAGGTAATAAGCATAATACCTGACAGGTAGTTTTTCAGTTCTCACCCTACTTCCTCCCTCGACCCTCAGGTCGGCCCCAGATTCTGTTGTTTTCTTCTTTGTGTCCATATATACTCAGTGTTTAGCTGCCAGTTATAAGTGAGAATATGTGGTATTTGGTTTTCTGTTTCTGTTAGTTTGCTTAGGATAATAGCCTCCAGCTTCATCCATGTGGTTGCAAAGAGCATGATCTCATTCTTTTTTATGGCTGCATAATATTCCATGGTGTATATGTACTACATTTTCTTTATTCAGTCTACCATTGATGGGCATTTAGGTCAATTCCATGTCTTTGCTATTGCGAATAGTTCTGCAATGAACATATGTGTGCATATATCTTAACGGTAAAACAATTTATATTTGCTTGGGTATATATGAAATAGTAAGATTGCTGGGTTGAATGGTAATTCTGCTTCAAGTTCTTTGAGAAATCACCAAACTCCTTTTCATAATGGTTGAACTCATTTACACTTCCACCAACAGTGTATAAGCATTCCCTTTTCTCTGCAACCTCACCAACATCTGTTATTTTTTGATTTTTTAATAATGGACATTCTGACAGATTTGAGATGATATCTCATTGTGGTTTTGTTTGCATTTCTGTAATGATAGTGATGATGAACATTTTTTCCCTATGCTTCTTGGCCATGTGTATGTCTTCTTTCGAAAAGTTTGTATTCATGTCCTTTGCCCACTTTTTAATGGGGCTGTTTTTTGCTTGTAAGTTTGTTTAAGTTCCTAATAGATTCTGGATATCAGACCTTTGTCAGATGCATAGGTTGCAAAAATTTTCTACCATTCTGTAGGTTGGTTGTTTACTGTGTGGATCATTTCTTTTGCTATGCAAAAGTTCTTCTTTAGGTCCCATTTGTCAATTTTTGTTTTTGTTGCAATTGCTTTTGGCATCATCATCATGAAATCTTTACATGGTCAACAATTCCTAGGTTATACTGCAAAGTTTGTGTAGTTTTTGGTTTTAGATTTTAGTCTTTATTCCACCTTGAGTTGATTTTTGTATATGGTGTAAGGAAGGAGCCCAGCTTCAATCTTCTGCATATGGTTAGCCAATTATGCCAGCACCATTTATTGATTAGGAAGTCTTTTCCCGATTCCTTGCTTTTGTCCACTTTGTGGACGATCATATGATTGTAGCTGTGTGGCATTACTTCTGGGCTTTCTGTTCTGTTCCATTGGTCTACGTTTCTGTTTTTGTGCCAGTGCCTTGCTGTTTTGGTCACTGTAGACTTGCAGTATGGAAGTCCAGGAATGAGATGCTTTCAGTTTTGGTCTTTTTGCTTAGGATTACCTCTGCTATTCAAGCTCTTTTGATTCCATATGAATTTTTTTTTTTTTTTACAGTCTCACTGTCACCCAGGCTGGAGTGCAGTGGCAGAATCTCAGTTCACTGCAACCTCTGCCTCCCTGTTCAAGTGATTCTCCTGCCTTGGCCTCCTGAGTAGCTGGAATTAGAGGCATGTGCCACCACACCCAGCTAATTTTTGTATTTTTAGTAGAGATATGGTTTCGCCATGTTGGCCAGGATGGTCTCAAACTCCTGACCTCAAATGATCCGCTTGCCTCAGCCTTCCAAAGTGCTTGGATCACAGGCGTGACCCACTGTGCTCCACTTCCATATGAATTTTTAAATAGTTTCTTCTAATTCTGTGAAGGATATCATTGGTAGTTTGATAGGTACAGTAGTGAATATTAAATTGCTTTGGGCAGTATGGCCATTTTAACAATATTGATTTTTCCTATCCATGAACATGGAGTGCTTTTTTCATTTGTATATATTATCTCTGGTTTCTTCGAGGAGTGTTTTGTAGTTGTCATTGTATAGATCTTTCACCTCCCTGGTTTGCTGTATTCCTGTGTATTTTATTCTCTTTGTGCATGCTGTAAATGGGATTGTGTTCTTGATTTGGCCCTCAGCTTGGATGTTGGTATGTAGGAAAGCAACTGATTTTTATACATTGATTTTTGTATCCTGAAACTTTTCTGAAGTTGTGTATCAAATTAAGGAGCCTGTGGGCAGACACTATGGGATTTTCTACATATAGAATCTGTAAACAGAGATAGTTTGACTTCGTCTCTTTCTGTTTGGTTTCCTTTTATTTCCCACTCTTGCCTGATTGCTCTGGCCAGGACTTCCAGTACTATGAATAGAAGCAGTGAGATGGTACATCCTTGTTTTGTTCTGGTTTTCAAGGGTGGTTGCTTCCAGTGTTTGCCCAATTATTATGATGTTGGCCGTGGGTTTGTCATGAATGGCTCTTATTATTTTGGGTGTTATTATTTTGCCAGAAGTTCCTTCAATGCTCAGTTTGTTGAGGGTTTTTAACATGAAAAAGTGTTGAATTTTATCAAAAGCTTTTCCTCTTCTATTGAGATAATTATGTGGTTTTTGTCTTTAGTTCTGCTTATGTGATGAATTATATGTATTGATTTGTGTTTATTGAACCAACCTTGCATCCCAGAGATAAAGCTTCCTTAATCGAGTGGATTAGCTTTTTGCTTTGCTGCTGGATTTGGTTTGCTAGTATTTTGTTGGGGATTTTCGCATTGATTTTCATCAAGGATATTGGCCTTACATTTTCCTCTTTTGTGGTGTTTCTGCCGGGTTTTGGTATCAGGATGATGCTTGACTCGTAATATGAGTTATGGAAGAGTCCCCCCCTTTGCAATTTTTTGGAATAATTATTTTGGTAGAAAGATTACTAGCTTTTTTTTCTTTTTTTTTTTTTGGAGACAGAATCTTGCTCTGTCACCCAGGCTGGAGTGCAGTAGCGTGATCTTCACTGTGTTGCCCAGGCTGGTCTCAAACTCCTGATCTCAGGTGATCTGCCCACCCAACTCCCAAAGTGCTAGGATTACAGGTGTGAGCCACCGCACCCAGCCAATACTAGCTCTTTTTTATATGTCTTGTAGAATTTGGCTATGAATCTGTCTGGTCTTAGGTTTTTTTTGAAGCTATGTATTTCTGATTCCATTTTAGAACTTGTTATTGGTCAGAGATTCAATTTTTTCCTCGTTCAATCTTTGTAGGTTGTATGTTTTCAGGAATTCATCCATTTCTTCTAGGTGTTCTCGCCTGTGAGCATGGAGGTATTCGTAGTAGTCTCTGCAGCTTTTTGTATTTCTGTGGGGTCAGTGGTAATGTCTCTTTTATTATTTCTGATTGTGTTTATTTGGATCTTCTTTCATTTTTTATTAGTCTAGGTAGCAGTCCATCTATCTTATCAATTCCTTCAAAGAACCATCCCCTGGGTTCATTGATATTTTGTATGGTTTTTCACATCTCAGTTTTTTTTTTGGTTTAGCTCTGATTTTGATCATTTCTTTTATTTTGTTAGTTTTGGACTTAGTTTGCTCTTGTTTCTCTAATTCTTCCACATGTGATGTTAGGTTGTAAATTTGAGATCTGTCTAACTTTTCGATGTGAATGTTTAGTGCTATAAGTGTCCCTCTTCACACTGCTTTAGCTGTGTCCTAGATATCCTGATATGTTATATCTTTGTTTTCAATAGTTTTAAAGAATTTCTTGATTTCTGCCTTAATTTCATTATTAACCCCAAAATTATTCAGGAGCAAGTTTTTTGATTTACATGTAATTGTATGGTTTTGAGCAATTTTCCTAGTATGTATTTCTATTTTAATTGTTCTGTGGTCTGAGAATGTACTAGGTATGATTTCATGCTTCAGGTTTTCTTTTTTAATTTGCTAAGGATTGTTTTATAACTACTTGTGTGGTTAATTTTAGAGTATGTGTCATGCACAGATGAGAAGAATGTATATTTGGTTGTTTTTGGATGAAGAGTTCTGTAGACGTCTATTAAGTCCTGTTTATTAAAATCTGGATGCTCCTGTGTTGGGTGCATATATATTTAGAATAGTCAGGTCTTCTTGTTGAACTGAGCCATTACCATTATGTAATGGTCTTTGTCTGTTTTGATCTTTGTTTGTTTAACACCTGTTTTGTCTGGAGTTAGAATAGCAATCCCTGCGTTTTTCTGTTTTCTCTTTGTTTGGTAGATTTTCCCCCATCCCTTTACTTTGAACCTATAGGTGTCATTATATGTGAGATATATGGGGCTCTTAAAGACAGCATACAATAGGATCTTGTTTCTTTATCCAACCTGCCATTCTGTGCCTTTTAATTGGAGTATTTAGCCTGTTTACATTCAAGGTTAGTATTAATATGTATGGATTTGATCCTGTCATCATATTGTTAGCTGGTTATTATGCAGACTTGTTTGTGTGGTTGCTTTATAGTGTCATTGTTCTGTGTACTTATGTGTGTTTTTGTAGTGGCCAGTAATAGTCTTTTCTTTCCATATTTAGCACTCCCTTCAGGACCTATTCATCCCAGGGATGAAGCCAACTTGATAGTGTGGATAAGTTTTTTGATGTGCTGCTGAATTTGCTTGCCCGTATTTTATTGAGGATTTGTGCATCAGTGTTCATCAGGGATCTTGTCCTGAAGTTTTCTTTTTTTCCTGTGTATCTTCTCAGTTTGGGTATCAAGATGATGCTGGCTTCATAAAATGAGTTAGGGAGGAGTCTCTCCTTTTCAATTGTTTAGAATAGTTTCTGAATAAATGGTACCAGCTCCTCTTTGTATTTCTGGTAGAATTCAGCTGTGAATCCGTCTGGTCCTGGATTTATTTTTGGCTGGTAGGCTATTAATTCCTGCCTCAATTTCAGAACTTGGTATTGGTCTCTACAGGGATTCAACTTCTTCCTGGTTTAGTCTTGGTATGGTGGATGTATCCAGGAAATTATCAATTTCTTCTAGATTTTCTAGTTTATTTGTGTAGAGGTGTTTATAGTATTCTCTGATGGTAGTTTGTATCTCTGATGGGGTCAGTGGTGATATCCACTTTATCATTTTTTATTGTGTCTACTTAATTCTTCTCTCATTCTCCTTTATTTGTCTAGCTGGTGGTCATTCTGCTTTGTTAATTTTTTCAAAAAACCAGCTCCTGGATTCATTGATTTTTTGGAGGGCTTTTTGTGTCTCTATGTCCTTCAGTTCTTCTCTGATCTTAGTTGTTTCTTGTCTTCTGCTGGCTTTTAAATTAGTCTGTTCTTGCCTCTCTGGCTCTCTTAATTGTGATGTTGGAGTGTTGATTTGAGATCATTCTAGCTTTCTATACAGGCATTTACTGCTATAAATTTGCCTCTTAACACTGTTTTAGTTTTGTCCCAGAGATTCTGGTACCCTGTCTCTTCGTTCTCATTGTTTTCAAAGAACTTCTTGATTTTTGTCTTAATTTCATTATTTACCCAGGAGTCACTCAGATCAGATTGTTCAATTTTCTTGGAATTGTGTGGTTTGAGTGAGTTTCTTAATCCTGAGTTATAATTTGATTGCAATATGGTCTGAAAGATTGTTTGTTATGATTTCAGTTATTTTGCCTTTGCTGAGCAGTGTTTTACTTCCAAATATGTGGTCAATTTTAGAATAAGTGCCATGTGTCACTGAGAAGAATGTATGTTCTGTAGATTTAGGGTAGAGAGTTTTGTAGACATCTACTAGGTCCACTTGATCTAGAGCTGAGTTCAAGTCCTGAATATCCATGTTAATTTTCTGTCCTGTTAATCTGTCTAATCCTGGCAGTGAGTTTTAAAGTCTCCCACTATTATTTTGTGGGAGTCTAAGTTTCTTTATATGTCTCTAAGAACTTGTTTTATGAATCTGAGTGCTCCTGTTTTGGCTGCATATATATTTAGAATAGTTAGCTCTTCTTGTTAAATTGTTCCCTTTACCATTATGTAATGATCCTCCTTGTCTTTTTTGATCTTTGTTGGTTTAAAGTCTGTTTTGTCAGAGACTAGGATTTCAACCCCTGCTTTTTTTGTTTGTTTTTCTTTCCATTTTCTTGGTTAATTTTTAGCCTTTATTTTGAGCCTGTGTGTGTCTTTGCACATAACATGGGTCTCCTGAATATAGCAAATCAATGGTTCTTGACTCCTTATCCAGTTTACCAGTGTGTGTCTTTTAATTGGGTCATTTAGTCCATTTACATTTAAGGTTGGTATTGTTATGTATGAATTTGATCCGTCATCATGATGCTATTTGGTTATTTTGCACACAAGTTGATGCAGTTTCTTCTTAGTGTTATTGGTCTTCACATTTTGGTATGTTTTTGCAGTCACTGGTACCAGTTTTGCCTTTTCGTATTTAGTGCTTCTTTCAGGAGCTTTTGCATGGCAGGCCTGGTGGTAACGAAGTCCCTTAACATTTGCTTGTCAGGAAAGGATTTCATTTCTCCATCACTTATGAAGCTTAGCTTGGCCGGATATGAAATTCTAGGTTGAAAATTCTTTTCTTTAAGATGTTGGCCAGGCATGGTGGCTCACGCCTGTAATCCCAGCACTTTGGAAGGTCGAGGCAGGTGGATCACGAGGTCAGGAGATTGAGACCATCCTGACTAACACAGTAAATCTCTGTCTCTACTAAAAATACAAAAAATTAGCTGGGCATGGTGGCATGTGCAGGAAGCTAAGGCAGGAGACTCACTTGAACCTGGAAGGCAGAGGTTGCAGTGAGCCAAGATTGTGCCCTTGCACTCTAGCCTAGGTGACAGAGCAAGACTCCGTCTCAAAAAAAAAAAAAAAAAAAAGAATGTTGAAATTTGGCCCCCAATCTCTTTTGGCTTGTAGCGTTTCTGCTGAGAAGCCAACTATTAGTCTGAAGGGCTTTCCTTTGTAGGTGATCTGGCCTTTCTCTCTGGCTGCCCTTAACAGTTTTTCCTTTATTTCAACCTTGGAGAATCTGATGATTATGTGTCTTGGGAGTGATCATTTTGCAGAGTATCTTAATAATGTTCTGTGTGTTTCCTGAATTTGCATTTTGGCCTGTCTTGCTAGGTTGGGGAAGTTCTCTTGGATAATATCCTAAAGCATGTTTTCCAGCTCCTTTCCATTCTCCCCATCTCCTTCAGGTACTCCAATCAATTGTAGGTTCAGTCTTTTTATAAAGTCCCATATTTCTTGAAGGCTTCGTTCATTCCTTTTCATTGTTTTTTCTGTATTCTTGTCGGTATGACTTATTTCAGTAAGGTGGTCTTCAAATTCTGATATCTTTTCTTCTACTTGGTTAATTTGGCTGTTGATACTTGTGCATGCTTCATGAAGTTCTCATGCTGTGTTTTTCGGCTCCATGAGGTCATTTATATTCCTCTCTAAACTGATTATTCTAGTTAGCAATTCTTCTAACCTTTTATCAAGGTTCTGAGCTTCTTTGCCTTGGGTCAGAACATGCTCCTTTAGCTCAGCATAGTTTTTTATTACCCATCTTCTTTAGCCTACTTCTGTCAATTCGTCCATCTGATCCTCCATACTTTTCTGTGCCCTTGATGGAGAGACAGTGTGATCATTTGGGGGAGAAGGGGCACTCTGGTATTTTGAGTTTTCAGCATTTTTTTTTTTGACTCTTTCTCATTATCGTGAGTTTGTCTAGTTTTGGTCTCTGAGGCTGCTGACCCTTGGATGGGGTTTTTGTGGGGCCTTTTTTGTTGCTTTCTGCTTTTTGTTTTTCTTTCAATAGTCAGGTCCCTCTTCTGTAGGGCTGCTGCAGTTTGCTGGGGATTCACTTCAGGCCCTATTCATCTGATTCATTCCTGTGTCTAGAGATGTCACTCAAGGAGACTGAAGAACAGCAAAGATGGGTGCTTGCTCCTTCTTCTGGGACCTCTGACCTTGGGTGGCACCAACCTGATGCCAGTAGGATCATTCCTGTATAGGGTATCTGACAACCCCTGTTGGAGGATCTCACCCACTTGGGTGGCATGGGGAGCAGGACCTGTTTAATGAAGCACTTTGTCCCTTGGTGGAGAGGGTGTGCTTCACTCGGGGGGAACCCACTCATCTATGCTGTCCAGATTCCTCAGAACTACCAGGAGGATAGACTAAGTCTGCTGGTTCACAGAGACTGTGGCCACCCCTCCCTCAAGGGCCTCAGGCCCAGGGAGATCTGAATTATGTCCCTGAGACTCCGGCTGGGGTTATTGGAGATCCTGCAGGGAAGCCCCACCCAGTGAGGCAGGATGGGTCAGGTTTATGCCTGAAGAGGCACTCTGGCTGCAGACTTCCACAGCTGCTGTGTTGGGCCATGGGGACAAGCCTTGGAACCAAGCTGTCCAGCCTCCCTGGCTCCAGCAGGGGAAAGTGCTACCTGTAGCTATTGAAATGGGTGCTGCCCTCCCCCTGCCCAGGGAGCTTAATGTGTTATCAACTTTAAGCGTTTTATCACTCACTAAAAATTATTTTAAACATCAAAAAACTAACATGTTTTGAATACCTTAGCTAAGGTTTGTTATGTTTGTTTATTATTTTGAGGGGTGAATATTTTAATCTAGAAATTCTGCCAGTCTGACACTTTCAGCTATTTTAGGGCTTAAGAGTTTTTGACCATGAAGGTAGAAAAATTATGTATACCTATACCTATATCTATATCTATACATATATGTATGTGTGTGTATATATGTGTGTGTGTATATATATATATACCTACACACAGTTATATATATATACAGTTATACACACCCAGTTTTATATATATGTCCTGGTGGTGTATATATATATATACACACACACGTGTGTGTGTGTGTGTTTTTATACATGTATACATGTATTTCTGGTTCGCAATGATCTTGACCAAGAGAGTATCATTCTTTTATGTCACAGTTTCTATAATCAACAGCATATTAGAGAACTCAACATGCAACTCCTTAGACCTAACGGTAAAACTTGAGTTTTTAATTTTAACAAATTAGATAAATAGCAGTGTTTATATAAACCAGAGAGGATAAAACCCTAATTTATAAGGTATGTAATATTGTCTGGCTACATGAGCCACCTTTCCCCTTCCTCGAGTTAAAATTTCTAGCTTTGCTTCTTATAATGATTTAAATAGAGAGGTAATTGCATACTTTTCTTTAATGTAACACATACAAAATTAAGCTTTAGAAATTGCGTGTTTAACCCTCTTACTATGATCTGCTCATTGAGTAAATAATTTGTTCAATTTTGGCTGAGCATGGTCCATATTGTTGATTAACTATTATCAAATGAACACTTGTAAATTGGTAAAAAACTTGAGTAAAATATTGGCACAAGAAATCCCGTGGTAACAGCCCATACCAGCCAACAACATTAGTGTTTGAAATAATTGTTTCTAGTAACTGATGACCTGTTTTAAATAACATGATTTCCAATTCAAATATTTATATCCGTTCTACTTGGGAAAACTTAATCTAAGAAGTTTATAATTTACTCTTAAAATAACCCTGATTTGGGAAAGAATGACATTTATAAGGCAAATAGAGGAGAGAATGGAAGTTTGAAATAAGTGGTACTTTTGTCACAGGATAGGCTACACAGCATTACTTATTTAAAATGTCAGATCTTTTTGAGCTCTAACAGCACTATTAAGTGTTTAATGGTTTTCTTCTTCTGAAGACAAAAATCAAATGCCCCTTCAGTGCATGGATTTAAAGTACTTGTTCATTTGTAAAGGTTAATATGTCATGCCTGTCACTTAGGTCCTCCTAGTTTTTTCTGTAATTTTAGAAATACCAAAAACAAACCGAGTCAACAGGATTATTCATTAGTTACTTTTGTATCTTCAAGCGCCAGTTGAAGATCGACAATTTCATTTCTTTATTTAGTAGCTTGTCAGTTTCTGAGAATACTATGCCTTTTCTTGGTTTCAAAATGTTCAGAAAATAAAAAACAATTGTGCCTTTCTTTGTAGATATTCAGGTACTTTCTGTATTTGACAAAGTTGTTGATCAACTTACTTCTAGATTTTGTGAACATTAATTGCATATTCTGATACCTGGCTATAAAAAAGAATAAACCTCCAATATTTTCTGAGAAACTTTTAAGTTTCCCTGACTAAATAATGTCTATGAATCCAGAATATAACATCTGTTTCACCGCTTTGATCTGAATACTAGTAAATGGAGATACTGGGAAAGTGGGAATATAACTACTCTTTGGTTGATAATTTGTCACTTCTAGATACTAGCTTTCCTGAAGCTAACAGATGTTTACAGAATTCTACAGAACAGTATGTTTACACCAAATCCACCAACCTATTTATGCAGTGATTTTTTTTTTTTTTGACAGAGTCTCACTCTTTCACCCAGGCTAGCATGCAGTGGTGTGATCTCGTCTCACATGCAGTGCTTTTTTATTACAGTTTCCTATTTCTTTATAAACCTAATAGCAGTAGTTTTATCATTACTACTTACTTGATTGATTACTATCCAGATACCATTAGTCAAAACATCTGCTTAAGTTTTTCACTGAATGTTTCCCTGTTGCACAATAATATAAATAGTTCACACACAAAAAATAAGGTTTTGTGATCAAATACATTTGGGATATGCCGATGCTACGTACTCTTTTTAGAAATTCACAAAGCACACTATCATCTTCTAGGTTCTGAAAAGTTCAATAATGAAGAAACCTATTTAACCTTGTTTAACTACAGATTTTCTAAAATAACAACAAAGCAATGACTAACATATCCTGGAAACATAGCAATTGGGAAACATACTTTGGGAAACAATGTGATATAGTATATCAGAGATGTAACTGTCACCAGAGTAAAAAGTCCACTTCATATCAAAATTTTCTAATAATTTTTTAGTTTAGTTGTCTTCTTTGTTACAGATTAAGGTTCAACGAAAAATGTATATTCATCTCTACTTCCAGAGAGACTGAATTCAATCATGCAAGATGTTATTCTCTAGCTGGCACCATGACTGGGTTTTCTATAGGCTCTTTCCACTTGTTTATAAGGACCACTGCTTTTGAATGATAGAAAATGTGCTAAGATCTGTACATGCCCAGGGTATATACCCATTGTCTTACTTCTTTTATTATTAAATTCCCTGGTCAGAGGCAGTGTTAACTGAAATACCTTAACACTGCAGGAACTTTGCTAGCAGAAGTCATAGTAAACAGGGAAAACATATTCATATCCTTAATAAGTAGCTACTCCAGGAAGGACAAGCCTTAGTAGTTGGAGTCAAAAAGTAACAAACTATGATCAGATTCATTTGAATTGTGATGCAACATCAGATTCAAGACTGATCTCTGCTTTGGAAGACTGGGTACCCAGCAGTAACAGCAGCAGTTAGATCAGCCATATTGTAGGAAAGTCCAATTTATAGAGTCCTTGTATAACCTCTGTTTCCACCATTCTGACCCCTTTGTTTATGAGCCTTTGAGCAAGGACACAAGTGTCCAGGTAAAGAGATTTACATACATAATTTGCATATACAGACTATGACACAGAATTGGTCACCTACCTATCTGATTACTGAGAGTGTCTTCTAAAGCAGGTATGCTTTGATGAACATTTAGAATGGATGTAGACGTTCTTACACTCCGTTCTCATTCTACGAGGCTCATCCACAAGATTCTTTCCAATATTCTCCTTTTCTCAAGTCTTCAATTTCAGAATTTCCAAGTCCCTGACAAACCTTTGACAAAGAGGACAATGAGATGCATTGTAGCCCTCCACTTGTAGCTGGGGCCAGAATATCATGAGGAGTCGTCTCTAAACCAGGTTGAAATATGCTCTTCCTTGTTCACTGGTTCTGGGGGAGCATCTCATGAAGAGTAGAGAAATAAGTGGCAATGCAGCAAGCGTAGGTGCACTGGAAGTCTTAACCACCCATTCACAACACTTGCGGGCGACTTCTTTAGGTCTTAATTCAGCCTGATTGTGTATGTAACACAGCCACTTGATAATGGTATGCCATTGAATAGGCTTTAGCATTTGGCAGACCAGATAGCATCCAATTTATGTCAGGTAGTGAGACAGCCAGGTAGGAAGGGGTCCCTGGAAAAACCTCAACGGGCCTGCGCACTGAGAGGAGTACACACTGGGGTGAAGCCACAGAAGTGTGTGCCATTTGGAGCGAGGAGGAGCCTGGCCCCTCCTCTTCCTGGGTGAAACCTGGGATTCAATCTGCAAGGCAGGAAGCACACTAACAAGACTCTCTCTGGCCAGTCCCTGTTTTCCTTTTCACCCAATAAACCCTACCCTCCCTCCTTACCCTTCTAATTGTCTGTGAGCTTGAGATGGAGTTTCACTCTTGTTGCCCAAGCTAGAAGCCAATGGTGCGATCTTGGCTCACTGCAACCTCCCCCTCCAGGGTTCAAATGACTATCTTGCCTTAGCCTCCTTAGTAGCTAGGATTACAGGCACTAGCAACTGCACCCGACTAGTTTGTGTATTTTTAGTAGAGACAGGGTTTCACCATGTTGGTCAGGCTGGTCTCAAACTCCTGACCTTAGGCGATCCACCCGCTTTGGCCTCCCAAATTGCTGAGATTACAGGTGTGAACCACCACACTGGCCAAGGATCCCTGTCTTTAGCTGAACTAAGAAAAGAGTCCTACAACAGTAGCTCAGGTTGCATAATTATTAGTTTTTCCAAGGGCAGCCATTTCATTTCCACCAGGATCGAGTTGTAATGATGATAGAAAATATGAATGAGGTATTGACTATATGTCAGACACTTTCATAAACATTTTATGCACATTAATTTCTGTAATCATCACAATGAAACTATGAAGTAAGTACTATTATTGCCCCTGTTTTTCAGAAAGGAAATGTGGTACAGGTAGTTCAAGTGTCCTGTCCATTGTCTTACAGCTAATAAGAGAGTATCATAAGATTCAAACTCAGTCTGCCTCCAAAGACTGCATTCTTAACACCTCCCTGTGCTGTATTACCTCAGTTCTAAGCAAGGAGCTATTTCTTGAAAGCAAATAGTTGTTTGAAGAAAAAGGCATAACTTTGTTTTAAAATACTCAAGGCCATTCCAGTGATTGTCTTTTAGGACATGCCAAAGTTTCTATGTAGTATTCCCTTCTGTCACAGTCACTTTGAGATTGGTCATGAAGTCCAAGTGGCATTAAATTCTAAGTATCTGGGATTATTATGATCCAAGCACACTTAAAATAAACCTTACAAATCAACTATTAAAACTAAGTAATGCTCAACGTATCAAAATAGCATCGCTCTTTAAGATCACATTACATGTATTTTCTTTAGATAGTTTAAATTGTCCATTAATTTCCATTATTGCTTATTTTATTTTATTTTTTAATTATTTTTTATTATACTTTAAGTTTTAGGGTACATGTGCACAATGTGCAGGTTTGTTACATGTGTATATATGTGCCATGTTGGTGTGCTGCACCCATTAACTCATCATTTAACATTAAGTATACCTCCTAATGCTAACCCTCCCCCTACCCCTACCCCACAACAGGCCCCGGGGTGTGATGTTCCCCTTCCTGTGTCCATGTGTTCTCATTGTTCAGCTCCCACCTATGAGTGAGAACATGCGGTGTTTGGTTTTTTGTCCTTGCAATAGTTTGCTGGGAATGATGGTTTCCAGCTTCATCCATGTCCCTGCAAAGGACATGAACTCATCATTTTTTTTGGATGCATAGTATTCCATGGTGTGTATGTGCCACGTTTTCTTAATCCAGTCTATAGTTGTTGGACATTTAGGTTGGTTACAAGTCTTTGCTACTGTGAATACTGCCGCAATAAACATATGTGTGCATGTGTCTTTATAGCAGCATGATTTATAATCCTTTGGGTATATACCCACTAATGGGATGGCCGGGTCAAATGGTATTTCTAGTTCTAGATCCCTGAGGAATCACCACACTGGCTTCCACAAGGGTTGAACTAGTTTACATTCCCACCAACAGTGTAAAAGTGTTCCTATTTCTCCACATCCTCTCCAGCACCTGTTGTTTCCTGACTTTTTAATGATCACCATTCTAACTGGTGTGAGATGGTATCTCATTGTGGTTTTGATTTGCATTTCTCTGATGGCCAGTGATGGTGAGCATTTTTTCATGTGTTTTTTGGCTGCATAAATGTCTTCTTTTCAGAAGTGTCTGTTCATATCCTTCACCCACTTGTTGATGGGGTTGTTTTTTTCTTGTAAATTTGTTTGAGTTCATTGTAGATTCTGGATATTAGCCCTTTGTCAGATGAGTAGATTGTAAAAATTTTCTCCCATTCTGTAGGTTGCCTGTTCACTCTGATGGTAGTTTCTTTTGCTGTGCAGAAGTTCTTTAGTTTAATTAGATCCCATTTGTCAATTTTGGCTTTTGTTGCCATTGCTTTTGGTGTTTTAGACATGAAGTCCTTGCCCATGCCTATGTCCTGAATGGTATTACTGCTTATTTTATTAACAACCAATAGTTTTTGTTTCATTCACTATATCCTGCCATCTTATTTCTTTGCCTCTGAGTTGAAAATGAAATACAACAGAGATCTGTCTCTGTCAATGAAAGACCTATCTACTTTCGAAAAATTTAAAAACCGCTCTTTATTTAGTCACCATTAAAATGATAGACACTGACATGGGTTCATACAAATATGAGCTGTTCTCAAACCTCAGGGCATTACAAATAGAAAGAGAGCTAATATTTCTGCTCCAATTTTTACCTTTGTCTTTAAAATACATTTTTTAGGACTCCCATAAGCAGACCAAAGAAACAGAATCTCCTTAAATTATGCAGGATACTTGAAGCTGTCTCCCTCAGGACCCAAAACAAACTTTGATTATTTGAATGCTGAGGGCATGACATGACCCTCCAAAATATTTTTTTTAAGTTTTACTTTTTTAAAAAAATTTCACCACTTTCAGCAGTTTGGATTCAAAAAGAATAAGAGCATGCAAAATTGTAGCTGAAACTATAAATTTTTCAGATTATTTCAGCAGTTCCTTTTTACAATGGACTTGCCTATGAGTTTGTCTCCTTCTATCATGCCTGGCCAGTTGATGCTAAAATGCTGCCCTCACCCTCAGCCCTGCCTTGGTCATTGAATTAGTGCCAGCTGGTATTTTATTCTCTTGAGGACCAAACTGTGAAACAGTTAATCTAGAAAACCAATCACACTATGTTACATGTTGCTGTATGTATGTGTGTCTTTTTCACTGGATTTTGACTTATTCATGTCCTGTTTACCTTTGAAATTCCTACTATTTCTTACAACGTGTTAGAATATAGTAGAAGTTCAATTGGTGTTTATTGAATTAAGAATGATCTGGAGACAAAATTCACAACTTTAGAGGTCACTTAATCAGTGACAGCAGATGTGGTGATTTCAGGACAATGATGTCATTTAAAGAGAGCCCAAAACTTTGGGCAGTTTCCTACTTGTCATATTGTTGATCAAGCCCAAGTGGGGGCAAACATTGGGCTTATTTGGCAATTGGACTCCACAATCTGTGAGCAAGGTGTGAATTTATTTCTCAGAATTATGGGTAGCAATTACCTTGAAAAACATACCTTATAGAATCTCAGAGTAAAGATAATCATAAAACTTCTAGTACAGTACTTCTAATTGTTTTGGATCTTTTCTTTGATCCCTTCTCAAAAAAGGAAACAGAAGATTAAAAATTAGCCTTCCTACCTTGTCTGATATTTACTGTTCTAGTTAAGCTTATGTTTAATACCCGGAAGAAAATTTATTTTTTTGAAATCAATTATTAATGTCTTACTTTATACACCTACAATTTAATGGGCACCAAGAAGTGCTAGATTCCTTGAGAGGGAGGATGGAAGTACAAATAATAAGACAAGCGTTTTCTCCCTCTTCACCATCCCCATGGAGATTTTGCTTTAGTAAGTGGTAGAATATGAGTCTCTGGCTCTCAATCTCTAGAGTGACACCAGTAATTCTTAGATTGGATTTTACTTTGAGCAGGGGAAAGGGGAAGAGTACTATGTTTTAGTGAAATGCTTTTGAACTAATGTGGCCTACATAGAATCAATGGGAAATGAATGACAGAGATAAAACTATGTGGAATTATTTCAGAACTCTATTCTAGAACCTCTTTCTCAGAATGTTATAAGCCAGATTAGTGCTCTGCATTCTTATTTTTTGTCACAATAGGTTGCCAAAATGATGAAACACAAGCTATACTCTAATGCAGTTTGTCCAACGTGTCAGTCTATTGTTTAATTAAAGAAATTCTACTTCTTTACAGAAACCCTATTTTAATTAGATCATTTCCTCAATTACTGTTAGCCTCTTCCCACTTATTCTAGATACAAGATCAACCCACTTTATTGTTTATACTAATGTAATATAATACTGTTACTGTATTTCCTTGTTGCCCCTGTCATACCTGAACTCCTTCTGAGTGTTCAAGAAGATGCTTCTGCCATTGAGACTATTATTGAACCATTTTTTTTCATCATTTTTCCTCTGTAAAACATGCCAGCTCACAGATTCTCGGAGATAATCTCTATTGCAAAAATACTCTTTTATTCTAGTGTAATAAAGACAGAATCAGGAGTATAAATTATCACAAGAACATACCAACATTGAAGTTTAATATCGGTAAAGTATTCATGTTCTTTTTCACATGATAATATGGATATTATATTAAGATACTTTTAATATATTTTAAAGTATCATTATATACAAAGTTTATTATTTATTTAAAAATTATCTTATATTAAAAATAAAACATTGACTCTAGCCAATTATATTTATAGGATTGTGTCTACTATAAGAGTGCAGGATTGTAATTGAGGGAGGAGAAACCCATATTACACATATTGATTTTTTGTAAAACGCTGTAATGGAGAAGACACAACCACAAAGAGAATCTAGTCTTAGTTGGAAGAGGAGTAAGACAATAGTTTAGTGGCATAAACCAACTAATAAATCTATTAATTGATAAACATTTATAAATAAAGTTATTCAGTTAATACTGAAAGATGCTGTGAGAAATACATGAACTCTCCACCATCAAGCAAGCAATCCTTTTTTTTTGGAGACGGAGTCTCGCTCTGTCCCAGGCTGGAGTGCGGTGGCGTGATCTCGGCTTACTGCAACCTCTGCCTCCTGGGTTCAAGAAATTCTCCTGCCTCAGCCTCCCGAGTAGCTGGGACTACAGGCACCTGCCACCAAGCCCGGCTAATTTTTTGTATTTTAGAAGAGACGGGGTTTTACTATGTTGCCCAGGCTGGTCTCGGACTCCTGAGCTCAGGCAATCCGCCTGCCTCGGCTTCCCAAAGTGTTGGGATTACAGGTGTAAGCCACCGTGCCCAGCCCAAGCAATTAACAATTTAATTGAAAAAGTAAAATAAGGACAGTAAGAAAAAGGTAAACTATGTAAAACAGTGTATGCTCAGGGCTAATTGGCTCAAGAGGCAAGTGATACTGGAATTCAAAAGAGAAAGATATCACAAAGAGATAGAGGAAAGAAGTTCCTTTTCTTTTAGAAATTTTTGCTTTAGGAAGAAAAGGACGATGGCATAGAGTGTTTGAATTTATTAAAAATCACATACAGGGAAGACATTTTTCAGGCTTTCAGGTATAAATGAAATGATCACTTCACTAATTTTAAATCAGTGTCTATGAAAACAATACATTTCTTTGGCACTGTCATTTTGAGCTGCATGTTGACAAAACTGACCACACAGGGAGCATAATTATTCACCAGAATGCCTAATGGTTTGTGTCACATTTAAATCCATTTCTGCCTCCTTGAGAAAATATGTATCCTGAAGAACATCTTACAGATTCCATTGAATTACAGGAATAACAATAAATGGATTTCTTTAGAAAGAAGGATTCAATAAAAAGAAAAATGAGGGGAAATAGGAATCTAAGCTAATAAATGAGACTCTCTGATACCAAACTATTGAGAGCTAGCATTTTTGAGGTAGGAAGTGAAGAATTGAAGGTAAAAAGCCTCCAGAGAAGAGAAGGACCCATAATCAGTTCCTGAAATCCAGCTCCACGCATGCAACCTTATACCAATAAATGCTCTTGACTAGAAGCCTCTTAATTTTTTTCTAGGAGATATAAAATTGGTTTTATTCTTCTATTCTATTCATGAACCAATGGCTGGAACCACATTTCCCCACTAACTTTTTCATATTGAAGTTGAGTGATGGTGAGGTAGCAGTTGAAAATATACTTGGAACCACTACATTTTCCATGTTTTCAGATCTCTTCCAGTGCAGATCATTCTTTTCATCTCATTTGGATAGCCAAATTTCTTCCAGAACTATAGAATCTACATTAAAGTGGAAATTCAGCATTGAGCTTTTCATGCATTTTTTCATGCCTTGTCTTATAAGGAATGTCAATAATTATTCTCTATCTTGTATTATCATCATTATTCTTATTAGAAATAGGTTGGAAAGGGCACAGGTTTATGTGTACATGAATCTAGTACACCCTCCTTGTGATAACACTGTGGCCAAATGTTTATCTCAGGCAATGTGCTGTGTTATGGATAGATGAGTCAAAACAGAATACCTTATGATTAATTGGAGACAGACGTCAAAGTGTTACTGTGATGATCAAGAGAAGGACTAGAATCTTGCCATTAGTCTTTCAGGTTGAGGATGGCAGTGCAAGGTGGCAGTGCAGGATTTTCTCTATGACCTGAATAAAGATGTTGCCACAGACATGAATATCTTAATCTATAAAATCTGTACTTATGCAGCAGTTATCAACAGGGCTTGGTTTAATTATTTGGTGCTTGGTTTTCTGAGCGGTCTCAATAATATAATAGTCTACCCTGACTTGTTTCCTTTCTAAAGTTCTAGAAACAGATTGGAAGCCATGAATAGTTCCCTTTTTTACATTTTGTATCTATCATTAATGTAACATGTTCCACAAATTAAAATCAAAACAACAAAAAGTAAAATTATTTGCCACTTTGTGCATTTAATATGTGTATATGTAAAAGGCTATCAGCTATTTTTTGACAATGACTAACTGGTACTCTTAATTGCTCATTCCTCTCCAAAACCTGCTCTATATGAAAGACTGTCACTGAGTATATTTATTCATGTGGAGACAGTTTTATAGAATATCAAACTGTGGGTTAGAACACCAGCTGTTGGGCTGGTACCAGCCAAGTGCATAGAACTCATCTGTACTTTATTTGCTTTTTCTCTTTAGATTCGTTAATTTCTCACTTTACTATGTGAAATCTATCTCTCTTTCAGAAATCAGTTGGTAGTTTTATTTCTCAACAGCACATGTGACTCAGTCTCTCCCTTATTTTATTCTAACGTGAAGTTTTCGAACTCTCTACCTATCTCTGATTTCAAGTTTGATGAAATGTTAGAAATGGGAAGCTTTGAAAAATAATCAGCAGTCAGAGTTTTAGAACTCTCTACCTATTTCTTGTTTCAAGTTTGATGTAGTGTTAGAAATGGGAAGCTTTTAAAAATAATCAGCAGTCATGGCCTTAATGAGAGGCTGTGTAGTTAAAAATCAGAGGCTTTGCTATTCTAGTGGGCTACTGGGTAAGATAGCAGACTTCCTTTCCTGTGTCTTGTCCTTAAGTTTCCAGGCATGTTTCTTAAATTTTGATGGTGGACATTGTGTTTTCTAGAACTCTACCTAGAGGAAAACAGATGAGTGAATTGATCTCTAGACATTTTTTTTCTGCTGAAACAGTAAGTTTCTAAAACAAACTTAATGGTGTTTTTGTAGCTTTAAGTATTTCAATATTTTCTCAAGAATTATTTTAATTTGCACAAATTAGATGGAATTTTGTTGATTTGTGCTTGTCTTATAATGCAGCTGGATATGGCATTAGTGAAATTACATTATGCAGTAAATAGTTATTTTGATGAAGAAAGTGATTAAATTTAATTTCAATAAAATATTTGATTGTATAATAGTATTTTCCCTGTTGGATGTCAGTATAAACAAAATCCCTCCTAGTGTCGTGAGCTGAGAAATACATTATGAAAGTATAATTTAAAAGTTTAAAAAATGATAAATTCTAAAAACAGAGGGAAGAGAGAAGATTGTTGAAAAATTAAAGGTATATTTGACTTAAATGTGTTAGTGATACAGTAATGTTGATGTGGTTTAATTCTAATTTTTGTACCATCTATTATTTTAACCATAAATAATATGGAATAAAATACATATTGATAGCATAAGACATTTTCATTTATTCTTTCCCAGCAGGATTCCTAAGAAAAGTTAGGAATTCAACTGAATGGCTTAGTCCTATGTCTACAGATGATAAATATGTCTAACTTTGAGTGTTTATGGCAACCATAACTACATTTGAGTGATGACAACTCCATCCTCTGTCCCTGCACCCAGAATTATACGCTTTGTACACATAGAACCCTTTTATATAACCCTTGTTCTACATAAGAAATGTAGAAAATTTGTAGAGAATAGTAGATATGCATGCCCTATGAAAAGAGCTAGGTTTCTGTTGTTTCATAGTTGCTGTGGGAATCTGTGGTGGTTTATTGGATAGTTCTCCAAAGGTGACAAAAATAGACATGTGACCTCCTTAACTAATTGTTGATACTAACTGAGAAAAAGTTCTTCAATTTCTGGGAGGAATACAGGCCCAAGACTGATTTTTGATCTAGGTGATAAATGTTGAAAACATGCTTAGTCTTTGTAAATAAGTAATGTAAGATTAATAAAATAATAATAATAATAATAATACACTGACCAGACTATTAAACTGAGTAAAAGTCCATGGGGGCTTATTTTCTTTGATAATATGGTTGGAGTAGCACTGCAGGCTCAGGGATAACTATGTAGTTGTTATGTAGACAGCTTTAATCAAAGCTCTTGTCTACATCGAGTCTCAGTCTCATCTCTACTGAAATAAGGCTGATTTGCAAAGGCCTTCTAATTCTAAAATTCTGCAACCTGCATACATCCTGGGGTAAATTGAATTCAGTACCAGAAACATTGCAGAATTTAGGGAAGCTCCATTAAACCAACAAATATTGAGTTTGTTTATACTATGTGCCAAGCTTTATTCTAGGCACTGCAGACACAGTGGTAAATAAAAGGATGAGATCTTTGATCTCGGGGAGGCAATATCCTAATGAGAAACAAAGATAATGGAATGTGAAAATGCATATTATACACATTAATTATTGATTGTGTTGAATGCCTTGAAGTTCACTGAGCAATGAGCAGAATAGCTGAGGTGGATCACTTTAGATAAGGACAATGAGAAAGCCTCTCAGAAAAAAAAGCCCTTTAATCTGAGGTCAGAGGGATGTGAATAATCTGAAGGAAGAAGATTCCAAGCAGAAGAAGTATGTGCAGAGCCTTAAGGGATTAAATGTGCCTGGCAAGTCTGAGAAACAGAAGGAAGCAGTGTCCCTAGGGTATAAAATGGGAATGAGAAGGTAGGCAGAAGAAGCATTACAGGCAAGGCCACGCATCCAGGATACGGCAAGGGTTTAGACTGTTATTCTAAGAATGGTAGGAAGCCACCGGGGGATTTTAGGCATGGCAGTAATGGATTTAGTTTTAACTTTTTAAAAGAGGTCAAAAAACTTCTTTGGCTTTTCTGTAGAGAATGCCTTCTTCAAGTTTTATCTTACACTACTTACAAGGCCCAATCACTTGGAAATGTTTTAGTAAAATAGCTCTTATAGTTACTTCTTCATGCCTTTTTTTTAACATAGAAAAAGAGATTGAGTAAATGTCACAAAAAACTAATGCAGGCAGAAGAGTCAATAAAACAAAGTGTATAACGTGTGTGTGTGTGTGTGTGTGCGTGTGTGTGTGTTCAAGAGTGTTTTACTGCAGACATCTCTTTTTTTCTGACTGGAGAGAGCAGAGAGGATCAGTAATTTTAGAGGATCAAGGAGTATCTTCAGCTCAGTTTTGGTTTCTCAGTTGGGTTGAGAACTACAGAATTTCCTTAGTTATCTAGCATCTGTAAGGAACCTACACAAATTTACAAGAAAAAAGCAAACAACCCCATAAAAAAAGTGGGCAAAGACATGAACAGTTTAAAAAAAAAGACATACATGCAGCCAGCAATCATATGAATGAAAGCTCAGAATCACTGATCATTAGAGAAATGCAAATCAAAACCACAATGAAATACCATCTAACACCAATCAGAATGGCTTTTATTAAAAAGTAAAAAAATAACAGATGGTGGCAAGATTGTGGAGAAAAGGGTACACTTATTTAAACACTGTTGGTGGAAATGTAAATTAGTTCAGCTATTGTGAAAGACAGTGTAGTGATTCCTCAAAGACCTGAAGACAGAAATACTATTCAACCCAGCAGTCCCATTACTGGGCATATACTCAAAGGAATATAAACTATTGTATTATAAAGACACATGAACACATGTTTATTGCAGCCCTATTCACAATAGCAAAGACATGGAATCAACCTAAATGCCCATCAATGATAGACTGGATAGGGAAAATGTTATATATATATATATATATATATATATACACACACACACACACAGCATTTTATATAGTATTCCACATTATATATATTTATATATATATCTTATATTGCTTATTTACAAAGGCTATATATACACATATATATATACATATAAAACATGGAATACTATGCAGCCATAAAAAGAAATGAGATCATGTCCTTTGCAGGGACATGGATGGAGCTGGATGCCATTATCCTTAGCAAATTAACACAGAAACAAAACCAAATGCCACATGTTCTCACTTGTAAGTGGGAGCTAAATTATGAGAACAGGTGGATACATACAGGGAAGCAACACACACAGGGGCCCTTCAGAGGGTGGAGAGTGGAAGGAGGGAGAGGATCAGGAAAAAATAACAAATGGATACTCGGCTTAATGCCTGTGTGATGAAATAATCTGTACAACAAACCCCCATGACACAAGCTTACCTATGTAACAAACCTGCACTTGTACCCCTGAACTTAAAATAGAAATATTTTTTTAAAAAAGAATTTCATTAGTGTCTTTTAGTGCAAAAAGTCAGCATAAGACTTCCTGAAATTTAAAAGCATTCTGTGTCTCATATCTTGGGCTTCTGTTCTGCCTGGTATTTTCTCAGTGCCTGAGTTGTTAAAGGGTTCCAACTTCATTTGATCTGTGATAGTGGTTCCAGTGTAATCTGTCACCTAGGTGAGGAGAATGCATTCTCTCTCTCTCATGCACACACACATGTTCACACACAGGCAGCTGTTTTTTTATCCCCTCAATTTAAAAAGTCAAGCCAATTTTTATCCACTCCTCTAGGCTCACCATTTTTTCTTTTCCCCAGACTCCATTAACTCACCCTCCAATTACATCTAGGCACCAGGAAGAGATGGAGTTTTGTTCCCACTACTAGCCTGAACTAGAAGAAAGAGCTAGAACAGGTAAAAAGAGGGAGAGGAGCAGAAGGGATACTGTGGAAATATATTTTAGTGACCTAAATCCACTTTTCTGTTTCACTCTTGAGGTTTCTGCTCAGGGTGGAGGGACAGATCTTAATTCTCCTCAGCACCCCTCTGCATCTGTGAAAGTAACAGAAATGTCAAAACACCACCAAAGGGCGATAAAAATTACAAAAGTTGTATATTTAAAAAAATAATAACTCCTAGTAAATAATAATAATAGTGGGATAAGTGAACATATAGAAAGTACTAATTTACACTGTATAAAAAACAAGGTCTGAAAATTTTAAAATGTCAGTCAATTAGACACATGTTTGCAATTTCCACAGGTTTGGTAGAGTATAGAAAAATATCTCTGACTGGTATCCAGTTTTGAACTCTCCATACAAATTTCTCAGCCCTGAATGGAAAAGCCAACTTACCTATAAGTGAACAAAAGTGAAAATCCTTATCTAGGGGTATGTCAATTTTCTATGGCTACAGTAATACAACAACAGTGGCTTAAACTAACACAGATTTATTGTTACAGCTTTGTAGTTCCAAAGTCTGAAATAGGTCTCAGTATTTAAAATTTGCTGGTAGAGTTGAGTGCCTTTCTGAATGCTCTAAGGGATAATCTATTTCTATGCCTTTTTCAGCTTTTAGAGCCTGCCCACAGTCCCTGAATCATGGTCCCATTATTCCATTTCTGAAGCCAGAAAGTCAATTTCATCTCACATCACATCACTCTTATCTCCTCTTCTGATTCCTTCTTCTAAATTTAGGATCTTTATTATTACGTCACTCTCCTCCTACTCCTGATCATCTTGGATAAGCTCCTTATGTTGAGTTGAAATGACTGGCAATCTTTTCTCCCATCAGCAACCTCAATTCTCCCTTTCTATGGAATGTAACGTGCTTAATGGTTCCAGAAATTAAGGTGTAGATATCCATGGGGATCCGTTATTCTCCTACTGTGAGGTGCTTTCACTAATTTTCCAGGCAAAAAGTAGCAGAAATAAAAGAAAAAGGAAGGACACATTTGAATGAATTTTAGTTAGAGTATCAGCTCCTAATCAGGGTTTCTCCCTGGAGGAGAGAATATTCTCAGGTTTCCTAGATACTGTGCATTTTTCTCTGAAATATCATCATGCATGCTTAATTATTTATAGCACTTTATGTACTTATTTATCTTGCATTAAGCAGCAAGTTTATTGTACTGATAGGTCCATGTCCATCTGTGGAAAGGACAACTTGCCCTGAATATATTCACTGTGTGGTTTACTTGATTTCTTTTGACCACTTCCAGTGGCTAGTTGGGAAATGAATGCTAACCATCATTATCAAAGTAACAGGAGTTAGTCGTGTTACATTTCTTCCCAGGGGAATTAACACATAAAACCAACAAAAAACATAATCATTTTAAATGGCTCTAGACAGCAAGAATGGATGAATGGGGTCTCTAAGTTAAACAGTGAGAGTATATTCAAGGGCTTTTGAGTTCAACTGAGACAGAATCTTGGCAATATTTGTTCATTAAGTATACTTGTCCCTCAGTGGTCATAGGGGATTGGTTGCAGGCCCCCGGAGAATACACAAATCTGGAGATGCTCCAGTCCCTCATATAAAATTGTATAGTATTTGTGTATGACCTATGCATATCCTCCTGTATTCTTTAAATCATCTCTAGGTTATGTATAATAACTAAGACAATGTAAATGCTATGTAAATAGTTATTTTGTATTGGTTTTTATTTGTATATTTTTAAATTGTTGTATTGTTACTTCTTACTTTTTCTCCAAATATTTTTGATCTGTGGTTGGTTGAATCCACAGATATAGAACCTGAGAAATGAAGGGCCAACTGTATTCTATTCATCTGGAGGAACAAACGTAGACAGTGACTATCCCTCATGAATGACTGTCAAGTAACCAGTTACCCACAGGTTTTAGCATTTACATCTGTCTTCTAGGTTACAAGTCAGAACGAACAGTAGTGCTCTTGTCTGAAACTGTAAAGAAATGAAGGAAAACATCAGAAGTTTATCTAACAAGCTATTCTTACTGGAGAGAAAAAAAAACAAAATAACCTATTATTAAACACCAACAGGTGCAAGTCTTGGGCTTACAGTAATATAAAATAACAAATTTTTCCTATATTATTGTATCAATCCATTCTCACATTGCTATGAAGAACTACCTGAGACTGGGTAATTTTTGAAGAAAAGAGATTTAATTGACTCACAGTTCTGCAGGCTTAATAGGAAGCATGTATAGGAGGCCTCAGGAAACTTACAATCTTGGTGGAAGGGGAAGCAAGGACCTTCTTCACATGGTGGCAGGAGAGAGAAAGAGAGAGAGAAAGGACAGAGAAAGGGGAATTGCTGCACACTTTTAACCAACAGATCTCATAATAACTTACTATCTTGAAAACAGCAAGGGGGAAGCCTTCCTCCATGATTAAATCATCTTCCACCAGGCCCATCCCTTGACACGTGGGGATTACAGTTCAAGATGAGATTTGGGTGGGGACACGGAACCAAACCATTTTAATTATAGAAGTAAATATTAAGACAAAGAAATGAGGTAACTTGCTCATTACTAATAAAACTAGAATGAGCTTTGAATTCGTGTCAGATTGACTTGTACGCCCATGATTCTTGCACTTTACCATGATGCTAATATCCTTGGGCTCTAGGGTTAGAGAGCATGGTGCTACCATTTGCAAAGTTGATTTCATCTTATCACTCAAAACAGTGGAGCTTTTTTTTTGTCTTTTGGTCTTTGTCCATACATTTCTAAACTAACTTTTAATTACTTTTTTAATAGTTAAAATTTAAAAATATTATCAGATATGAGAAACCATAGACCAAATAAACAAAATTGTCTTGGTGTATGACTTTGATTCGATACAATACACATAAATTACTTTGCTATGGGAATCAAGGTAATGGAACAATACTTGTGAGTGCAGAAACTCTCGTTTTATTTCATAGATATGATCTTTTTTACTTGTTCTTTTTAGGCATCTTGCCAACTTCTACCATTGCTCATGAAGGTGACTAGGTTACTAAACACAGGTGGTTCCTTGTCCTCTACAAATTCTTGGTTTTTAGCCCTCTGAACTTCTGCCTTTTGAGGCTACTCTTTTAAATCCAGTTTTCCTCTTTGTGAGCCTCTTTAGCCTCTTATCTCAGATTTTCCTGGACACAATTTGGACACAATTCCCTAGAACATGTTCTCAAAAAGGCCATAATCTTTTACAATACTAACTTTTAAAAAACATAAAAATACCTTCACAAGCCTTTACTGAGATGTAAGTTTGAATGATGTTTCCCCAACCTTGAAAATTATCCTTCCCCATGGTAACCCAGTGCCAGAAAAACCTTTCTTCAGGAATATAAATGGTGTCCCTCAGTACGCTACTAGGGAGAGATGAAAAGAGCTGACGTTCCAATCAATCTCACTATCATGCGCCAACCATTGCCTGCTGGTTCTTTGACCTCTTCATCCAATATTCTATCATAGGAAGGCTAGAGACGTTGTAAGGCTCATCTCTGCCCAATATGCCTCCTGAACGTCAGAAGGCAGATTCCCAAACTTTCTAAAAATGGTCACACCTAACTTTTCTGGATTGTACACAAGATCCAACTAAACATCCCAAAGCAACAAACAGCATGGTATACCCTGGGACTCCTATGGCTTTGTCCAACTGACTTGCTCATATATATTTTACAATGAATGACAAGACCTCAGTGTCCCTCATGTGAACATCCCCTGCTCTGTCACTCAATATTCTCAATCATATTTCATCTTTTTATCTTTTAAATTTTCTCATAAACCCTGTGCCCTTCTACACAAAAAGCTAGTGTCCCCCTCCCCTGGGAAACTCTGCCTTTTTCCACACAATAATTAGCCCATGATCCTTGGTCATTTTCATTTTGCCAGCTGTATTGGTCCATTTTCATATTGCTATGAAGAAATACCCAAGACTGGGTAATTTATAAAGAAAAAGAGGTTTAATGGACTTACAGTTCCACATGGCTGGTAAGCCTCACAATCATGGTGGAAGGCAAAGGAGGAGCAAAGGCCTGTCTTACATGGCAGCAAGCAAGAGAATGTGTGCAGGGGAACTGCCCTTTATAAAACCATCAGTTCACTTGAGATTTGTTCACTATCATGAGAACAGCATGACAAAAACCTGACCCCATGACTCAGTTACATCCCACTGGGTCCCTCCATGATACATGGGGATTATGGAAACTATGATTCAAGATGAGATTTGGGTGGGGACACAGCCAAACCATGTCATTCTCCCCTGGCCCCTCCTAAATCTCATGTCCTCACATTTCAAAACACAATCATGCCTTCTCAACAATCCCCTAAAGTCTTAACTCATTCCAGCATTAACCCAAAAGTCCAAGTCCAAAGTCTCATCTGAGACAGGGCCAGTTCCTTCTGTCTATGAGCCTGTAAAATTGAAAGCAAGTTAGCTACTTCCTAGATACAATGGGGGTATAAGCATTGAATTAGTATACCGTCTCCAAATGTGTGTATTTACCCAATGCCTGTAAATGGAAGTAAAAACAGAGGAGCTGCAGACCACATCCAAGTCCAAAAATCGATAGGCCAATCATTAAGCCTTAAAGTTACAAAATGATCTCCATTGACTTGATGTCTCACATTCAGGTCACACTGATGCAAGAGGTGGATTCTCATAGTCTTGAGCAGCTCTGCCCCTGTGGCTTTGCAGGGTACAGCCTTCCTGGCTGCTTTCATTGGCTGGCATGTAGAGTCTGCAGCTTTTCCAGGTGCACAGTGTAAGCTGTCAATGGATCTACCATTATGTGGTGTGGAGGATAGTGGCCCTCTTTCTCACAGCTCCACTAGGCAGTGCCCAGTGGGAACTCTGTGTGGGCCTCCAACCCTACATTTTCCTTCCACACTGCCTTTACAGAGGTTCTACATGAGGGCTCCATTCCTGCAGCAACCTTTTGCCTGGACATCCAGGTGTTTCCATACATCCTCTGAAATCTAGGTGTAGGTTCCCAAACCTCATTTCTTAACTTTTGTGCACCGCAGGCTCAACACAATGTGGAAGCTGCCAAGACATGAAGCTTGCACACTCTAAAGCCCCAGCCCAAGCCATACCTTGGTCCGTTTTAGCCATAGCTGGAGCAGTTGAGACACAAGGCACCGAGTCCCTAGGCTGCACACAGCAGAAAGGCCATGGGCACAGCCCACAAAACCATTTTTTTCTCCTAGGCCTCAAGGCCTGTGATGGGAGGTGCTGCTGTGAAGGTCTCTGACATGCCAGGGAGAAATTAGTCCCATTGCCTTGGTGATTAACATTCAGCTCCTCATTATTTATGCAAATTTCTGCTGTGGGCTTGAGTTTCTCCTCAGAAAATGGATTTTTCTTTCCTATTGCATCATCAGTTTGCCAATTTTCCAAATATTTATTCTCTGCTTCCGTTTTAAACATAAGTTCCAATTCCAAACTGTATCTTTGTAAATGAATAAAACTGAATGCTTTTAAGAGCACCAAAGTCACCTCTTGAATACTTTGCTGCTTAGAGATTTCTTCTGCCAGAGACCTTAAATCATCTCTCTCAAGTTCAAAGTTCCTCAGATCTCTAGGGCAGGGGCAAAACGCCACCAGTCTCTTTGCTAAAGCATGGCAAGAGTGACCTTTACTCCAGTTCCAAGCAAGTTCCTCATCTCCATCAGAGACCAACTCAGCCTGGACCTTATTGTCAATGTAACTATCAGCATTTTGGTCAAAGCCTTTCAACAAGTCTCCAGGAAGTTCCAAATTTTCTACATCTCTCTGTTTCCTGTGGAGCCCTCCAAACTCTTCCAACTTCTGCCTGTTACCCAGTTCCAGAGTCACTTCCACATTTTTGATATCTTTACAGCAGCACTCCATTCTCTGTGGTACCAGTTTACTTTATTAGTCTATTCTCACACTGCTAATAAAGAAATAGGTGAGGCTAGATAATTTATAAAGAAAAAGAGATTTAATGGACTTACAGTTCCACATGGCTGGGGAGGCCTCCTAGTCATGGCGGAATGCAAAGGGGGAGCAAAGGCCTCTCTTACATGGTGGCAGGCAAGAGAGCATGTGCAGGGGAACTGCCCTTTATAAAACCATCAGATCTCTTGAGATTTATTTTCTATCATGAGAACAGCATGAAAAAACCCCACTGCTATGATTCAATTACTTCCCATGACATGCGGGGATTACAGGAACTACAATTCAAGATGAGGTTTGGGTGAGGACACAGACACACCATATCACTAACTTTGTTATTTAAGAATTCAAATAATTATTCATGAAAGTTCTTCTTTAAAAAAGATGGGAATGGATTCTGATTACTCAAGAAATGGTGAATGTGCTGAGTGTTTTAATTCTAGTTCAGTTTCTACTCCAAGCAAGACTGAGTAGACCCTATGCTAAATTCCTAGAGTCAAACACACTTCACCCCTAAAATGATTGTGTAGCAAGGAAATACAATCTAGCTTCATACGAAGACAGCATATTTTTCTATAATGAGTTTTACAGTATTCACTAAGCTACATTAACCCTGGGATTATTGTGTTAGAAAAACATTATTCTCCTCCTTCTTTCTACTGGATACATATCAATATCACTTCATGGCTGTATATGAATCATCCAGAAAAAATGAACACCTTGAATGATCCTGTAATGTAATTGTTCTGATACACAGTTTAATTTGGGATTGAAGTTCTAGTTCATCACAACATACTATAGGGGAGAAAACACAGCATTAAGTGTTCCAAATCCATAAGTAGAGATGAATATTTTTATGAGTATTACATTTTAAGAAGAAAAAAAATGAAACTAATCAAATGTCCTTGGATATATCCCTACACCATGGGATGTTAACAATATAATTGGATACTCAGTAGAAACAGGAGGTAGAAGTTGAACAATGAAAAAAAAATGGTTACAACTTTCAACCTTGAGACTCCTGAAATATTTTATTTTTGACCCTTTTTTGGGTCTTAGAGTATTCTTGCTGAGTATTGTGAATCATAGTTATCACTGATCACAGTTTCTGTTGAAACACTTTCAGTACACCTTAAGAAGTTGGAAGAGAAATTCAGCTCTCTTTCACTTTTATGGCTGTTTAGAAATGATGTTCTAGTATGTCCAAAATGAAGAAAATGATATTAATTTGATATATGATTTTCATGATAGGCAAACCTGTTCACTAGGAAGCAAAGGTGGATTTGAGGATATATTTCAGTGACAGAACGAAAACTATGATTCTCTACTAGCAGCATTCTTCACTTAAGTATTTTAACTCTTGTGATCTTTAGAAGTACAGAATAATGAAATATATCCACTCCTGTAATTCTTACATTCTATAATTATGAATACTTCTGTCACTTAGATTATCTGCATTATAAAGACAGAGATCTATGAGTAAAATTTTAAAACATGTTTATATAAAGACCCCGAAAATCATGGTGTTGTTAGAAGATTAGTGGTTATCAGTCTTTTAACAATTTTTTTTAATTGGAAGAGAACTTGGCATTGATCTTAGAAAAATTTGGATGCATGCATGCCTCTGGTTTACAGGTGGAGGCTCTAACAGGAAACATGTCTGGGGGCATGGATGGAGATCCCAGTAGGCAATGCCAGTGAGTGGCTTTTGAAAACTTTGTCACAGGAACCCATATTCTCACAGTAAGAACCATGCTCAAAGTCCTGGTGAGTCACTCTCAAGTGTTTTCCCTAGCCACAGGAGCAAAGACCTTAGAGAAGAGCACCTCTAAAGTCAACAAGAGAAATGGTAAATTATATACATCACATGGAAGAGGAGATGGCTATGAGAGGAGAAGGCAAAGAAAAAAGCCCTGGGCACTTTGGAGATAATTGGGTTAGACTTAGATGTTCCACACTAACAGGTGCAATCAAAATTGAAAACATACTATGTGTACTTCTGGTATATGAACCCATTTTAAACTTCATCTTGGTATTATCTTGACGCATTACAAAGCCATTAAATTACCATTTTGTCTTATAAGAGCTTATTAAAGTTTTTTTTTTTATCAGGGAGCAATCTATACATCTTCACATCTTTCTTAACAACCATCCCAGAACTTGGCACAGACTTTCAATAAACAAAATTTCTAACCACAATTGTAGTGCATTAAGAAATTGGTAATGATTACTATTATTTTAATATTATTCAATCTTAAGTTTGTAACTTTTTATCAGAGGTGAATCAGTTAATTTTCAAATCTTCAAATTTCACATATTTTATAATTGGAAGATTTAAATAAATTTTCCAAGGCCACAGTTAAGCATTTTGGAGAGTCTATAATCCTTGTGGTTAGCACTGTGCTCTTTGGTTACACTCCACAAAATAAAGCTACTTCTAAATTGGTTTTCATCTCATGGTGTCTTCAGGTTTAGAGTGCCTGGGACTTGGAAAAATTATTATTTATCTTACATTCTGACGGCATGTTGCTGCCATTCTTGTGATTTACTATGGAACGGAGAAAACATTGCCAACCAAGCATGTCAAAGCCACATCTCATTGTACATTCCATTTGCTCTTCAGAGCATTGCTCCTAGTGTACATGTACGTGCACAATTTCCATTGTAGCAATAAAATAAAATAAGCCAAGTTTCCTCCTTTACCTATTGAAGGTCTTTAAATGCACAGCCTTCTGGGATAAGTCAAATGCTTCCCTGGACATTCAGATTGCAAGCAGTCTTTGGATTACATGATCTTCAGATATCAATGAGAAAATTAAGGAACACAAAATAAGAAATGATTTCTTATGCTTTATGCTCACTGTCTTTCAAGGCTCCAGATTCATCTGTCTGTCTTGAGAGTTGTATTACATTTTGATTCCTGGGGAGGCTTTCTCCATTGAAATGCTTAGGAGAGTTACCACTAGCAGTATTGTGTCCAAACTGTGTGTTTTGCAAGTATAACTTTAGGGTAGGAGTTTTCCATTACTGTATTTTTTTTAAGTTTTACCTTATCAATTATTCTTGTGTGGCAAAGCAATTCCCTTGATGCAGAATTTATCTTGAAAACAATATTCCAGATCAGAAAAGGATGAACTTTTAGAAGGTTTATTTTCAACAAATACTCTGTTCTGATCTCAGATGTCTGTTACTGATTATGAACAAAAGTATATTTGATATATTTATAGGTATTTCTTCAGGGTATTTGGAGCATTCAAAAGGCTTTTATGTAAAAGGACAGAGAGCAAATCTTGCAGTCACCATGGCTTCATTTTACGCTCGGTAGTCGTGATTCAGTGTACGGTATTGCTTCTCCTTTTACTATTTTATTGCTGTGTGACTGAGAATATTATGCATTAGCACTTAGCAGGGAAATTTAAAGAGTGTTATTCTATTTATTTTAAGTGTCATATAATTATGAATTGATTTACTAGCCATTGTAATGCTACAAATGATAATTAATTTATTTGCATAATATGTAGTTTCATAGACGTTCAATTATAATAAAGCATTTGCTAAATGTACCATGAAAATTGTGTTTCCAGAGAGAGTGAGAGTCTGAGGCTGGAATCTTTTTAGCCTGTCAGTATGTGGTCGCCATCACTGGCAATCCGTTCCTTTCAGGATGGGAGGGAGGTTTACTTAGTCCCATAGTTCACCCCTTTACATATTTTTCTCATTTTAAAATATGATATTCAGAGTCATTGAGATAGGCTAAAAATAATAGCGTATTAATAAAAACAATAAAATTGAAATGAAGGATATTGATGTGGTTAACATCTTAAATCCCTTGAGTCAAAACTGGGTTGGAAATATTTAATTACTCACCACGTTGCCTGAACAATGAGTTAGAAGGGTCCAGTCGTGGACTTTCTACTCTTGTCAGTTTCCCATGGCTCAGGGGTTCCCCCAGTCAAATAGGAGATAGAGGAAAGGAGAATGGACAGACTATAAATCCCCATTGTTTGGGAGCATGGGTACAACACCAGGCAAGGGTTCTAGGTTCCCAGAAAATAATTCTAAACAGGTGACACAAAAAGCCAGAATGTCTTGGCCCAAAGTGTTCCGGGTATTCCCCCACTAACAGTGATGCTTTTCTCATACTTGCCTATGAAAGAAGAGGTTGCCAAGGGGAAGGATTTTTCTCCCCTGGATTACGGTGCATCTTGCATGTCCAGCAGAATAGTCTGTCCCAGCCTGATTGCAGGAGGGAGGCTGCAGAACCAGTGCTTCTCTTCTTTTGCAGACAAAGTTTTGTGTTTCCTTTCCCAAAAAAGTCTGTTCCTCTAACCAGACAATGTGATGGTTTTGAATTGTCCTTAACTGTGATACAAAATTGTGGCACAAATAGAAGACAGTTTTTACAACAGTAGTGACTTCTAAGATAACTATTTAATATAATTCATTTATTATGCTTATTGTCTGTTTCTATCTTTTGCAATCAGAACTCCATGTGGGCAAGAATCTTTTAGTAGTATTTCATAAGTGTGGTATATTGTCTTTTTATATTCATTCATCTAAAAGTGTTCCTTAACTTTCCTAGTGATTTTCTCTTTGATTAATTGGTTAGTTAGGAATTTGTTGCTTAATTTCCACAATTTTTTGACTTGTCCAAATTCGTCTCTGATATTGATTTCTTATCTCTTTCCATTTTGGTCAAAGAACATACTCTGTATTATTTCAATTATTTTAAATATACTCAGGCTTATTTCATGGGATCATATATGGCCTATCTTCCATAATGTTTCTTGTGCACTTGGGAATTCATGTATTCTGCTGCTGTTGTATGGAGAGTTTTGTAGAGGTCTCTTAAGTCTAGTTAGTTTATACTGTTATTCAAGCTGATGATCTTCTGGCTAGGTGTTCTATCTATTTTACATATGGGATATTGACATCTCCAATTATTATTGTTGAATAGATTTTTCTCCCTGAAATTCTGGCAGATATTGCTGTGTGTATTTGTAAGCTCTGTTGTGAGGTCTATATATGTTATAATTGTTATATATTCTTGATTGATTGACACTTTTTTCATTAAGAAATGTCTCTTTTTCTCTAGTAATATTTCTTGTCTTAAAGTTTCTTTGTCTGTTATTATCATAGCTAGTCCAGCTCTCTTTGTTTGCTGTTTGCTTGATATGTAGTTCCCATTGTTTTACAGTCAGATCAGCTTTTTAAAAAATCTTCTAATCTCTCCTTTTTGAATAAAATATTTAATTCATTTCTATTTAAAGTAATGATTAATAAAGTAGGATTTATATCTTTCATTTTGCTATTTGTTGTCTTATACATTTTGCTTTTCTGTATTCCTTTTTATTTTTCTTAAGTAGTTTTTAGTGTACCATTTAATTTCTTTGTTGTTTCTTTTGCTCTATTTAAAAAATTATTTTCTTGGCAATTGCCCAGAAGATTGCAATTAATACCTAGTTTATATCAATCTCATTTGGACTAAAAAAGACTATATGTGTATATAATTTTTTTCTCTATAATTCCCTCTTCTTCTGATTTAAAAGATAATTACAGAAGGCAACAGTTATAAATCTGTGTTGACAGGCGCATAATTTATATAGCTGTGATTAGTAACAATAATAATATAAAGGAAGCAGAGAAGAGAGCTATATAGGAGCTACGGTGCTTGGGGCATGCGTTCAGCGCTCCAGCAAGCAGTGATAATTCTGCCATAGCTTTCACTTCCTGCTTGCGCAGCTTTTGAGGTCAGCCAGTGTTGGGATCTTAGGGCCTTCTTAGGTCTTTCCTCAGCATACATTGCTCTGCCTATGTACATGGCCTTCTAGATTCCCAACTAGGTTTCAGAGCTTTAGAAGGGACCTTATGGATATCTCAATCTCTGGTGAATTTTCACAGTTTTTACTAATGTTTATTTTATGATACAGATTTTTCTACATCTTTACTCCACCATTCTAGCTGACATCTTCTGACAATCAATATTCTAACTTTTAACTAAAAGACTGTGTACCACATAATTGCTTAGGCAAATAGTGAATTTCTCCCCCTTTCTCTCATTGAGTGGCAAAGTAACTAGAATGACAATCTCTTATAGTTCAACTAGGATATATAGTAGAGATATATATGTATAGTAGGATATATAGGATATATATAGCACGATATATAGGACATATAGTAGGTCTTGACATCTAAGCCCAAAGTAAAGGATGATTATGCATACATGGGTTTTTTCAGGGGCTTTCCTGTGAATTAATATAGAATCTACATTTTGATTAGTCTTAAAGCTCCTTCATGTGCCCATTTATTGCAACTGGTTTGTTTAAAGCTCAGAGTTTTTAAGCTAATTTATTACAAGAGCTAATTTGCACACATAATGACCCTGAATTTGATGTATGGCTGTTTCATATGTATCTTTTAAAGAAAATTTCCCATTTGTGAGAAATGCTTTGACTCTGAGTAGCTGAATTCTGCAGGTATCAGCAGAGGTTTATTTATTCGCTGTAAATGAGATTTTCTCAGTTAAATCCTCAGTGTCCTCAGTAACAACTCCATCAGTCTGTTGGAATGGAACTCTAGTCAATGAGTTAGAAATATATTTTAGATGTATTTTCATCAAGAACATATTGTGATGTTACCTTAAAGATCATTTAGCCTGATCTGCATTCTGGAAACAATGTTGTGTTACAGAAGGGTAACAATGCTCACGCTGCCTAATTTGTTTTGACTTGTCACCATTAGCTTTATATTGTGATGGGCAACTATGCCATAGGAATTTATGAAGTTGGACTTCATTTCCCCAGCAGTAGATCTCTACTAAGTTAACTGGAATGAAGTTAATTTCCTCTAACAGAGATGCTGGGGACACTTAAAAATATGTAGTTAAGCTGGCATGCTTAATAGCAGCTCATATTCTGCATTATAGTGGAAACTAAGAAATTGGTTCATTACCGATGAAAACATTTATTGACTATATACTGCTTTTGTAAATGATGAAAAGCCTATATTGACTACAGGGCTGCAGTTAACCTACATATATGCCTTATCTGGCAACATAGTAAATATGGCAATAAACTTGGGGCAGCACAGAATGAAGATTAAGAGTAAAGTAACCATATATCCTGATTTGCCTGGAATGATCTCAACTTCCACCTATAGTCCACCATAATTATGAATAGGGCCTCCTTTAACATCCCAGATTATCTCAGTTTGGATGATAAATTATATATCATCTTGGTTAAAAGCAGTCTCTGACACCAGACTTTGTAGGTCATAATGCATGCTCTTTTATTTTCTAGCTGTGTGAAAGAGTAATTTGATTGGTCTATGCTTCAGTGTCCTAATCTATGAAATGGGTGTGGTAATAACGTTTACCTAGTAGGGTTGCAAAAATTAAATATATATAAAGCTCCTGGCACACTGTTTGTCACTCAGCACATGTCATATATCTAAGATAGACTATCTTGCACCACATGCAATAAAAACAATTTCTAGTCTATGTTCATTACAAGGATTTCAATTTCTCCATGAGATTCATTCATTCCAAATGAATTTTTTTCAGGAGAATAAAGACAGAGGAGAAAACAACACCAACAAAATACTATAAAATATAATGAGTAAATTTAGTAAGGAAAGTGGAATGTGTTGTTGAGAGCAATACTGAACTATATCTTCCCCTCCTGGATAGCAACACTATATTAAAAATTAAAGCAATGTACCAATACCCTTTTTAATAATTTACAACTTGACATCCACCTGGATTTGGTGCTATCAAAGGCTATTTCAAATTCGCCATAATACTATCGGAAAACCTTAGAAAATGAACCGCTCTGTTTCTTTACTTGGAAACCTCTTTGTGTTACAGTTACGCCTTCTGGTCCCTGGAGTACACAATTTGCATTCTACTGATTATAGCCTCGCTATTGTACTTAAAGCTTCCCCCTTTGGGTAAATGTAAATCTCTGTGTGTTCCATTCCTTGCAGGTAGCTGTTCATTTTAAAAGAAAATACGAAAACAGCCTTTTACCTAAAATACACACACTTGGAATAGTTAACACAAGATTTGGAGGAATGGAGTACAAGAGTCTTATTGCCTTGCCTGATCATAAGTGAAACAATACCAAATCGTATTTTTTATTACCTTTTGTTGGAGAGGTTTTTCCTGATTCTTATATTCAGCTCACATTCTAAGGCTACAGAAGTGCCTGAAACAAGGCTTCAGTAACTTCTTTCTCTAATATATCAATGCCAGTCAAGGATATGGCAGCACACAACAGCAAAACCAGCTCTGAATTGCAAACTGACATTATGATTTTGTCCTGTTAGAAGTAAAGAGGGAGTTCACTATTTTCTTTCAAGACAGGGTTGATATACCCATTCAGTGAGAGGTGATTTTTAACATAAAGTAGTAGGCAGAACTCTACTAACTCACCTTGGCTAAAAATTTATATATGTTATGGACATTAATGCTAACTCATGAGAAATGGAAGAGACAAACTGAAAACAGCTTCCTTGACTTCTTTTCCCAGTAAGACTTAAATACGGTGTAAAAACTAAAAGTTTATCTGTTGTAGTCTTTATGAGTCCAGAGGAAACTGACTATACAAAAATAGCAAAGCTGGCTGCAACTGGCCTCACCAAAGGCATGTGTGGTGGATGGGACTTGAGGTGATGGATAGCCTCACTGCAAGGCCTCAGGCTTTGGATAAATGGTGTCAGAGAGAGCTATGTTTGAAAGTTCTGTCATTTCCCAAAATGCATGGTGCTGGGCTCTACTCTATACTTTCCAATGGTAGCAATAGTGACCATTGCCAAGCAGTCTATGTATTAAGGAAAGATGTGTAATAAAGGTATCTAGCCTACTGCTTCCTAAATCAACTGCTGTTTGAAAAGAACATTACCTCAAAAAGAGACAATACTCTTCCATGTCCCCAAGAGGTCTTGTCAAAGCAATTAAGACATTTATTTGTGACTTAAACATATCTGCTAGATATCTTGGGATGATAATGGACACTGGGCAAATAGGGGACTCTTTAAAGATGTCCCCTATTTAAAGATGGACAACTTTAAATGCCTCATATGAGATAATGGTATTTTTACTTTTTCCACTAATGAACTGGCTACCTGGGCCATTTGAATTATGCAATGGGATGTGACATTCATGGTACATTGGAGAAGCAGACATAATAGTCAACAGCAGCGAGAAAAGGAACTTGGAAAAAATGGACCATGTTTACTTGCTCTGTACAACCTGCAGAGACAAAAAGTGGTGGTTGCAGGAAAACAGGTTTTATTTCCTCTTTCAGTTAAATCATAATGGATTAATTATAAAAATAGTGTGGTATTATGAATGAAAATATGACCCATGGATTTAGAATTTCCAGGTTTGCATCCAGATCTCCACCTTTATCAATTTTGTGATCTTAGGCAAATTACTTCACTTCTTTGTATCTCAAGTTTCTTACCTAGAAAATGAGAATAATCCCAACTACACAGAAGTGTGAACATTTAGTCTTGAGTATTACAGTAGATAATTCATGTAAACCACTTAGAAAAGTACTGGAAACCTTATAAAATCTCAAAAAATAGGTTATATTATTGTGACTGAGCTAGGTATAGAGTATGTACCACCAAATATACCTTGAGATTTATCTGTCAATATGTAGAGAGGCACAACATCTTTATGTCAGTGCTCCAATTTTCATCTCCTTATATCAGGAAGGCCACTATTCTCCAGTAATGTCGATATCTGTGCTAGAGAATACTGAGAGATGACATATATATTAATAGCTGTAAAACTGTATCTCCACGGGTTCTCTCAGTAGGGGATGGGTTGTTAGCACTCTCTGTGGGGTTCTACTACCTTAAGCCTAAGCCTGTTGTCCCTGCCCATCACTACCTGCCCTTCCTAGGCTCCTGAACTGAATCTTTCTTTAGTTTCCTAGGAGGGATCATCACTTGGCCAGTTTTTTCTAAGAGTAGTCTGACAGCATAGCTGTTAAATCTTACTATTATAGTTCATTCCTTCATTGCACAAGGTTCTTCCTCCCAGAGGCCACATGCCAAGGGCAAGATAAATGTAGCCCAGACTAATAAAGTACTTGGAACCCCTGCTGCCTCTGACAGGTAGGCTTTGTCAATCTGTCTGGCTCTCTGCATCACACTTTTTTTTGTTTTTCACTTCAGTCCTAAGGACTCCTATGTATTTTCCTTCAGCTGGCTCTTTTGGGGTCCTTTAGTCCATCAGACTAGACTGTACAACTCAGAAAAATATTTATGGAATAGATTCATAGTTTTTCTAACTGATCTCCTAGGACCCTGGCATCTACTTCAGCATCCTTTACCATTTCTTGATGTTGAGAAGTAGCCTGAAGTTTCTGGCAGTTAGGAAATTAGTCTGCCTAGAGTACACAGAAAACTTAAGGGATTACCTAACTGCAGTTTTCTGACTGACCTTTGGCTCAGGCAAAATATTTTGTTATATAGAGGATTCAAGATGCAAAAATAATGTGTTCCATGAATTTTCTCACAAGTGTATATGTGCAGGTTTTATGTGTTGTCTAAAGTGGCTAGAGAGAACTGATAGGGCCAGTGTCCTGAAAGCCAGCCATTTATGGCTGAATGTGTGTTGTTTCCTGTGCACACAGGCAGTCTAAAGAGAGATGGAAGGAAGGTAGAGGTGAGCACATTCTCTAATGGACTGTAAGATCAAAATATAGGTGGCCATTAGAAGTGAGGACTCAACTTCTTACAGGAGAACTAGTAAGAGGAAGAAATGGTAAATCTATGTGAACAGGCAACTGCCAGGAGATGTGGAATATCCCTTTATGTTCCTTTCTATCAGTAGAGACACTTTTGTGCATAGACATGCAGTGGTAACACTGAACATGTGGATGCAAGACATATGCATGTTTATGTGTCACATTTGTATGAACATATATAGTTCATTGAAATTAAGAAATGTTTAAGTGAGAATAGTATGTCAGTTACATTTTTCATCTTTTCCCTCTTGAAAATACAGTTTACCCATTTCAGTGTCTTACCCAAAGGATTAGCCATTATTGAAAACTGTTTCAATAATATCAGTTGAGTGGTTGACATTCTTAAATTACTAAATATATTGTTTATATTAGAATTAAAGAAATTTGAGAGGCTCATAAGAAGCCTGAGAAATAGGATAATTATTTTTTTCATGAATTAATGTTAATTAGTGCAAAAAGGATGTTATTATTATTGCCATCAACAATTTTAAGAGTGTGACAATTCAGCATTTGTCATTATTATTTTTAAAATAATGCTATATGAATGTTATTAGCAAAAGTAAATCTTGAATTTTCTCAAGGATTTCTCAGATATAACTTAATCGCTATAGGATATCTGGCTGATCATGTGGCACACACACTAAAATGAGTAAAATATACGTGCTTTGTGTGTATGTATGTATATTAAGATGTTTTGAAATCTTAAAAACTCTTTCTGTCTAGGGAGAGACTGCCTTTCCCAGGAGAGAGAGCCAGTTCTTAGTTATAGCAAGGGCCCAGCCAGGAACATGCTTTTGATATGCAAATTAATCAATCCAGAGTCACACCTTCTCTGTCTGACCCTTACACTCCAAGAGGCAATATTCCTTTGCCTTCATCAAGGCAGTGCCAGGCTCCAGACAAACAGTAACCACCACTGTAGTGCAGAGCCTGCAGAAACTATTCAAACTAGCCAAGCCTAACCTGTTCACCCTGCCCTGCCTGGACTTTCTTGCAGAAACCCCCGTAAAGGCTCTTCCCTAAACATGCCGCTCACTCCAGTCCTTTGCCTCCTGACCACACAGATGCTTTCCCATGTGACTGTGGATGGCATGATCTGCCTCCTATCTCTAGGACCTGTATTATAAATTTTGTTTTCCTGAACCTCTCCTCTGGCTTATCTTCTGGCTGCACCAGACTGACCATCTCTATAACAAAATTCAAAACAAGGTTAGAACCAGAATAAATGTAGAGACTATTTAATTCGATTTTCTTACTTTATAGGAAACAGGCTGAGGAAGAATAAGAGACTTGCTTGAGGTAAGCCTGTGAGATTGTATATTCCTCCCTCATTCCAAAAAGGAATTCACTCAGTAGGAGTTAATAAAAGAGCCGGAATGTTCTGATTCATGGTCATATACTTCACACTAAAGTTTCTATTTGTCTTCATTGCTTCCAGAAGTGACCCATTTTAAAGATTAACAAAACTGAAGATTGCCTCTAGAAAGAAAATAATTATCTCTGCAAAATCAGGCCAGGTATAATTTCTACCTGGTAATAATGCCTGGGTATTTCTGCTCTGCTAAACTGTGTATCTAGGGAAATTAGATGTGATCAGTTCCTCCCTTGATTATAGGTTTTTTGTTTGTTCGTTTCTATGAGGTTGATTAGTAGCGATAATTAAATTACCAGTCAATCATCACAGGGGAGATTGGGGTCTAGTTATTCTGTTGTAATTTTACTTTTTCTCATTCTCACTATATCTTTAAGGACTAATGGTATGAAAGCATTTATTTTTATATTATTCTACTGAAGGTGAACTTCATTGTTAAAAACAGTTATTCAGTCAATCACCATTTTTTATGTACTACTATATGCTTGTTTCAAAGTTATCTTTGATATGATATTTCCCTCTCTTGCTTTTCATGTCCAGAATCTAAATACTCATGAGGCTGTTTTTGGGAAACTCTTTTTGATAAATTTCTTGTCTGCTTCTACTATCACTATTCTGCACCAGTCATTTATTTTTTCTTACAATTACTTTATTCCAGATTTCTTTATCTGATTCCCAGGTATTCACAGACTTACTAAATCTGAATATTCAGGAATTGGGCCTGGTGATCCTTTTCTGAAAACATCTTCATGTTATTTTTACATGGCCTATTTAAGTAAAGGCATTTAATTTTTAAAATTGGCTTTTAAAAGAATGCGATTTGTTTTTGTTTTTGTTTTTTACTTCAAGATTTGCCCAACACTAATTCATTCTTTACTTTCTGTCAGTAATACTGGGAAAATCTCCGATGGCTGTAAACTCTTATTTACTGTGCTTTTTCTTATCCAGGAAATTTAGAATGCCCCCAAAATAGATGATCGAATACAAATTCCTTAGGTAAAAATTTTCAGTTCTTAGTAACATCAAATCTCCTTTTTCATCCAGGCATCTGTCCCACTGCTCTCCAGCAGAAGCTTTTACTGTACTCATATTTACCTCACCTATTTCCTCAATCTGCTGTCCCTAATGTAGCTACTTACCTCTGCCGCCTTTCATCTCTTCGCACTTAATTTGTGTGCGTATATTGTTTTTCAAGATGTCAATCATATTTTATCTTTTAAAGACAGAAATCGTGTTTTATGCTTCATTCTCAACACAATGTAATGGTCCAGTAAATCCCGTATTAAATGGTATTAAGTATGCTCATGGTCAAAAGTGTGTGGACATGTCAAAAGTGTGTGAATGTGACTAATTGATGAGTTATTTTATAGTATGTTCAATATTTCTCAAACACTAATTTAATTATATGTATATGTATTTATATATTTGGCTTGCTACTCATTAAATCTGTTTTGGGCTTATCAGCAGACAATTGATTAAATCAGTGCTAATTATATAATGTAATATGCAATTTATTGTAAGTATGAACAGTTGCTAAATAAAATTTAAAAAGGTATGCCATCATTCTAACAAGGATGAAGATAGAAATCCTGTGTTTACTGTTTCCTTTAATACTATGCAGCCATAAAAAATGACGAGTTCATGTCCTTTGTAGGGACGTGGATGAAGCTGGAAACCATCATTCTCAGCAAACTATCACAAGGACAAAAAAACCAAACACCACATGTTCTCACTCATAGGTGGGAATTGAACAATGAGAACACATGGACACAGGAAGGGGAACATCACACACCTGTTGTGGGGTGGGGGGAGGGGGGAGGGACAGCATTAGGAGATATACCTAATGCTAAATGATGAGTTAATGGGTGCAGCACACCAACATGGCACATGTATACATATGTAACAAACCTGCACGTTGTGCACATGTACCCTAAAACTTAAAGTATAATAATAAAAAAAAGATTAAAAAAATTTGGTCGGTATATGGAATAAAAAATATATTATTTTAAAATAATGCCAATGGAAATTAAATTCTCTAACATGAAACAGACTTATGGTAAAATGGCTAACTTTTGCTGAAGTAAGCAAGTTAAAATAATTCTGCTAGTGTTCTTCTATTCCAGAACTGGGCAGAGTCAAAACCTGAGTGTTTGCTAAGTTTATCATGAAAGTGAACCTCAGGTATCAGGATTTTCCCCATAATGTAAACTTCCTTCTCCCAAACACACAAGGAGAAACACGTCAGTGAGGAGTGAATAAAAGGTCTAAAGAATGGAACTCAGAAAATTAGCCGGGCGTAGTGGCGGGCGCCTGTAGTCCCAGCTACTTGGGAGGCTGAGGCAGGAGAATGGCGTGAACCCGGGAGGCGGAGCTTGCAGTGAGCCGAGATCCCGCCACTGCACTCCAGCCTGGGCGACAGAGCGAGACTCCGTCTCAAAAAAAAAAAAAAAAAAAAAAAAAAAAGAATGGAACTCAGTCAGAAATCAGGTGGCCTTAATCCAGAGAATTAGTAGCCAGAGAATTGGCATATTATTTAGGTACATACTGTTACACAGATGATTTTTATCTGTTCACCTAAAAGTATTAGTACTCACTCAGATCATTTTAAAGATTGTGTGGCCCCTAGCTCCCTTTCTCCTTGAAGCCATTGCCTCTCTTCAATTGCCTCACTTGGAAGAATTACTAGGGTTTCCTGGAAGAAGTGTAGCTAGAAAAAGGCCAAGGAACAGAAATGTTGAAGAGCTATTTGCTACATCTTTGGAGTACGAAATCAGGGGTTGGACTGTAACCATGATCTCTAATAAATTCCTGGGGGTAGGTATTAGTGTCAGTAATAGATGTTTATTTAAAGAAGATTTGATATGACACCAAGGGAAAGACAACATTGAGCTTCAAGATAAAATAAAAATTGATATATGAGATAAAGTGTATGTAGCCAGAATTTTTGATTCTAGTAATTACAGGCTAGAGAATTTTGAAAAACTATTCTATCCAGGAAAAACTAAAAAGTACCAAACAACTTTTAAGGAGACAAACAATTATGAGACTAAAATCCTGGAGTAGATGAGAATTCAAAGAGGTAGGTTCAAGTCATAGTGATAATTTGCCTATAGAATTCTCCCATTGGAAAATTCCCAGGACCTTCTGGGGGATGGATTAAATGGCTGCTGTCATTGCTTAAAAAAGTGTCTTGACCTTGATGGAGCTTATGTTGAGAAATAAAATTTGTATATATTTTGTAAAAAGCAATGAGCTTTCATGTTGATGGTTTTAAGGAACTATGAAGACGGAAGTTAAAGCAATGTCACCTGAGGTGGAGAGTCTGTCTGTTAAACTGATCCTCTGAATAGCTATATTTTCATGGGTGTCTTTAACTGCAAGTAAACGTCTTATGTGAACTTGCAGCAAGTTGCTCAATTGGAAAATCTTCTCAGACTGGTAAGGGGCTCTAGACAAATGACAGAAGTAAACAACAATGCTGTCAGTAAGAATGAAGCCTTCTTCTAAGCCTCAAATTATTCGTATAGATAATTTTTCAAACACAAAGTTAACTGAGCACACACAGCAACAAAATATTAATTAGAAAGAAGCAGCAGAAAGAACAAAAGCAGATTGGAATGGTCAGACATTTTAAAAATGAACTTATTCACTATGTTTGCAGAATGGGAGAAAATATTTGCAAACTATGCATCTGACTATGGTCTGATAACCAGAATCTACAAGAAAATTAAATCAACAAGCAAAAAACAAATAACCCTGTTAAACAGCAGCAAAGGACATGAACAGATACTTCTCAAAAGAAGACCTAGAAGTGACCAACAAACATCTGAAAAAATGCTCATCATCAGGAATCGTTAGAGAAATGCAAGTCAAAACCACAATGAGATACCACCTCACACTAGACAAAATGGTTATGATTAAAAAGTCAAAAAATAACAGATGCTAGTGAGGCTGCTTAGTAAAGGGAACACAGACACTGTTGGTAGGAATGTAAATTGGTTTATCCATTGTGGAAAGCAGTTTGGAGAGTTCTCAAAGAACTGAAAATAGAACTATCATTCGACCCAGCAATCCCATTACTGGGAAATCCCATTACCAAAGGAAAATAAATCATTGTACCCAAAAGACATTTGCATCCGTATGTTCATCGCAGCAGTATTCTCAGTAACAAAGACATGGAATCAATCCAGGTGCTCATCCACAGTGGACTGTTTAAAGAACATGTGGTACATATATACCATGGAATACTACACAGCCATAAAAAAGAACAAAATCATCATGTCCTTTGCAGCAACATGGATGCAGCTGGAGGCCATTCTCCTAAGTGAACTAACACAGGAACAGAAAACCAAACACTGCGTGTTCTTACTTATAAGTGGGAGCTAAACACTGGGTATGCATGGACATAAAGATAGGAACTGTAGGCCCTGGAGAGTACAATAGGAGGCAGGGAGGGGTGCAAGGGCTGAAAAATTACCTACTGGGTACTATACTCATTACCTGGGTGGCACTAGATTTGAAAAATAACCAAACAGAGGTTTTAGAACTAAAAACAAAGCAATAAGAAAAAAATGAGATCTCAATCGATGGGTTGATGACCAAATTAAACACTGCTGAAAAGAGCATTAGTAAATAGAAAGACAGGTCAGAAGTTACATAGACTCTTTCTACTCAAAGTATAATCCATGGACCAGCAGACAAACTAGTGGCCATGTTAGAAATGTAGAAATTCAGGTTTCACCCCAGGCTTAAGTCAGAATTTGCACTTTACAAGATTGTAGGTGATTTATATGCATATTTAAGTGTAAAAAGCATTAATCTAAAAGGTGTCATAAAGGGACACAATGGTAGGAATTACAGAAGATAGGGTCAAATACATGGAGGACACAGAAAGAAGGCCTAATAGGTATTTGAGTCCCAGAAAGAAAATAGGATAGAGACATTATTTGAGATGAAAATGGCTGAGAATTTTCTAGAAGAAATGAAAGGCACCACTTTATGGCTTTAAGGAGACCCAAAAATCTTAAGATAATTAAACAGAAATCCATACCTAGCCATATCATAATATACAGCTACAGAAAACCAAAGTTAAAAAATATAATCTTAAAGACAGCCAGAATATCAAAGTTAATAGAAACAAAAAGTAGCAATGAGTTGACTCAGATGAGTAAATATCTTTTCTTCACACGTAGTTTGAGTTGTTTATCTGGTTTGTTTTAGAGGCACTTCCTGACCACTGAAAAGTAAGTTGGTATGTTATTCACATAAGAACTGGATTCAAAGTGCCTGGGTTCAAAGCCTCATCCATGATTAACTAGCTGAATAGCATTGAGTCATTTACTTCGCTTTTTATACTGCTAACAATACCTTCCTCAAAGCTTATATGATGATTAGATGAGGCAGTGCGGATAAAGCACTTATCATAGTGATGGACACATAAATGTTAAGTATTATAAATATTATTTTTGTAGCATATTTTAAACAATATTTATTTGCATTTTATAGCACAGATTTTTATAGGTCATTCTGTAAAGAGTCAAACATATTTTTTTCAATTTGCACATTAATGTATTATATTATTGATAAGGGATATGAACACATTCAATATGTTCTTGATGTACATGTGAAAAGTGATTTGAAAACTAAAACTCCCCACAAAAATCCTAGTTGTAATTTAATTTATGCCGCATAAAAATTGCATGGGGTATGAATTAATATGCTCATTGTGTAGGCGACAATCAAAAAAGCTTACATCACACGTACCATGTCCTGTTAGAAGTGCTATAAATGTATTATCTCATTTCACAACAACCTTATGATATAGTTACAGCTATAATCTTCATTTTACAGGAAGAAAACTGAAGCCCAGAAAGCTTAATATATTACCCAAAGAGTTAGTCCACATTGAACTGGGAGTTAATCCTTGTCTGTCTGGCTGGAAAGCTTTTGCTCTGTATCTTGGATGAATAAACTAAACCTTAGGGAATCTTCCTAGAAGTAAGTGAAACTGGGATTTGATTTCAGTGCTTTCTGTATTCCAGGAATGTCCTTGTATGCTGCTCATATAGAAGTTTATAAATGGTTGCAATGCATCTATTTAGATCTTGCAAAAAGTATTACATAAAATAGTACTAAAAATTAGCAATTCAAACCCTTTAAGTTGTTATATACCTATTTCTCCCCTCCACACACATTTCTTTTGTTTCTTAGATTATGTTTTTCTTCCAAATATGAGTGAGTAGCCTCTGTAAAATTTCTTTTAACAAAATCTGAAAATAGATATGAATTAGATAGGTAAGAGCCTCACAGTGAAATCTGAATATTGGAGCCATACTGCTTCTTGAGGGATGATAGAATTTCTATGTAAAACAATCTTAAAATACTGTTTTCAAAGTAGTTTTAAGATTATTTCAAAGAGCCAGAGAGGAAAGATTAAAATGGCCATTGATCCAATATTTATAACACTCTACTCTGGGTAGGCATGTAATTGTAAACTTTATAATGGTTGGAGTATTAAAAAAGAATAAGAGAGAACATGTTGGAGGTGGGCAAAAGATACAAATTTTACTGAAATAAGAAGCATCTGTTAAGATATTTAGAGAAATAGCAAGAATGTAACAAAAGGACAAAAAGGAATCAAGTTGGAGATGTTTTAATGATGTGAAATGCTGCTGAGGCACTTTTCTTGTTTATGATTGCCAGCTTTCTTATTCATTAAGTAAGTTCTTATTTCTGACAGTGGATGATGCTTCATTATCCTCAAATGGCAGGGATGGCATCAAGCCTGACGTGTCCTGGGCAGTGAGAAAGTTGTCTGATTCCAGAAAGCTAGTTAGGCCCTCCCAGGCAGTCATCAAACCATTAAAGAATGGGAAAAAGCAATACTTTCTGCTCTAGTTGGCATCTATTTTGCTTATCCTGAAAGAAAAAATGTTAGCTGCATTATAATCTGACTTGGCCTTTATTTAACGTTTGTGAGGAGAAAAATGACAATAGCGTTAGTGGTAAGCATAATTGATAGATCTGATAACTTTCTCTTTGCAGTTTTTTTTTTTCCAAGTCATTAGTGAACAAGAGCCCTTAGGACAAAATACTGGGGTAAAAATTCAAAATGGCAATGATTCATAAAATTTGTTTCTTGTAAAAAAGCCATGGTTTCGCAGAGCTCTCGTTTTACTTTCATTTATGCCTACTTAGCACTCTATTGTTGAAACATGGTTTTGAAGGCAAATACTCCTAGTATCAAGACACTTAAATATGGCCAAAGAAGAATAGCAACAACTTATTTCTAATTTACTCTTTACATGACTCATGGGGTCTAAATTTTGAAGGTAAAAAAGACAGGGTTAAGTAACAGTCACCCAAAGGACTTAGTTAACTTGTTCACATGTACTTATCTCAGTGAGCATCTATTATAAACTAGGCACACTGCCATGCACTGAGAGGAAAATGACAAATTAAACATATAACTCCTAACATAAGATAACTCACAGAAAAATAGGGGAACTATTCTCATAGCAGAAGCAAGTGGGAGCCCTGTAATTTTTTAGGTAATAGATGCTTGATGTACCATAAATACTCTCTTCTCTTCCCCCTAAAAAGGCAGTAATTTCTGCTAAGTGTTGAAGCAGAGAGAAGGAGGTTCTGAACACGTAAAGGTAGACTAAAGTAAGCCATTGAGTTGAGGCATGAGATGAGGTTACAACAAAAGTATGTAGGTGCACCAACAGTCATAACAAAAGGAAGAAGCAATCAACTCTCCAAGAGGGGACTAAAAAGGTAGAAAAGACTTCATAAAGAAAGAGGTGTCTCCTGCTGGTTGGCTGAAGGATGATTAGGAAGGCATTTGCCAGGCAAGCAAGGTGACCTGGGAAGACATTTGAAGCACAAAGCAAGAGCTTAAGGCAGGAGGAACATCTGGAGTTCAAGGCAGAATGAGCAGTTAGGAATGGCAGGAGCAGAGGAAGTCAAGGGGATTAGTGGGCAGAAGGTTAGAGAAATCACATAGGGGACTCCAAAGACCTGTCTGGTTTTGAACAATAGATAGTGGACATATGTTCATTTTTAAATGGATGTTTAAGAGGCAACTACAGTCAAGGTAGGTGTAGTATGTTAAAAAGCTATTATGTTTTGTATTTTAGAAAGAGAAAGATTATTTTCATGCATCCTCTCAAACACTATTCTGTCCTTCAGATTTTCCTGCAAATTCAGTCTACCTAGTCTTCAGGACTCATACCCCAAAAGTGTCCCCTGGTTATCCCATCTTACACTTTCCTCCCTTCTCTGAACTCCTAATTGTGTGAGGATTTCCTTTGGCACTTCAGCATCCTAGAACTTTTAAACAGGCTTTATGTTTCTAGATCAAGAAAATAAGGCCCAGAGAGATGAAATCACTTGCTGAGGATTTTTAACATTCTGCCTTATATTTCTAGTTAACCTTTTATGTGTATAAATCTTTACTCCCCAACTAGATAGTAAACAAATTAAAGGCTGACTTCCATTTTATCAATTCCTACTTTCCCCTCTACATCTTGACTAATTGCCCAGATAATAGGTTCTCAATATAAGTTTGCAGATTGATTAGCATTGCTTTCTGGAATACATTTCCCTTTAAGAAAAAATTAAAAAAAAAAAACTTTTGGGCACTCACTCAGAAAAAAAAAAAAACGCTAATGTTTATTGTACATTTTTTTTTTTTTTAAAAAACCACCACACTTTAGTCTGCCTTTCTGCCTTCAGAACCTCCTTCTCTCTGTTTTGACACTTAACAGAAACCATTGTCTTCTGTGGGAAAAGAAGAGAGTATTTATGATACATCAAGCATCCACTACCTAGAAAATTATAGGGCTCCCATTTGCTTCTGCTGTGAAATGCCAAGATCACAAACATGACTTCAAGACCATCCATTATCCACCTGTAGATTGCTGTCAGGTTTGCAATCTCTTGCTTTCACACGTATTGAATTTCATTTGATCATTTCTACATCTCAACCCTGTTTCCAAACTGTTGAGGAGTATTTCTGAATCTGTCATGTCGTTTTTCCTAACCGAACTCTCCTTCTTCAAAAACCTTGACTCTACTGTATGTCTATGCTCTTCTCAAGGGATTTATTTTACATGAAACTAGCTCCTCCCAGCCTGTATTTCATTACAGATATGAAAATATCTCTGTGATATGAGTTTTGCATGTGTAGCTACCTTGTTCTCTAATATTAAACTCCTTGAAATGAGAGATTAACAACAACAACAACAACAAAACACTACATAGTGGTATTGGAAGAATTATTCTTTTTGGACCTTAACTTCCACAACTTCAGTGTTTGTTTTTGTTTACTTTCCTAATTTAGCTTGCTCCTAAGAGGTTAGTTAAGAGGTTTCCAACCCTGCAGGTAAAGACCTGGAATCCACATTGTTTTTTCTTGCTAGGTGCTAATATTTATTCTATCTTCTCAAACATGAACATATAGCACTTTCTTGAGAAAAAGCTTCTATTTTGAAGAATTAATCCTCAAATGTAGGTGGATATTGATAAATAGAAATTAAGTCAAATGTTTTCTCCAAGAGGAAGTAAATGACGCTTCTGCAAGGGCTTCCTTTGTTTCATTGACCAGACTCTTAGTTTTAGATGGACAGACCTGGATACCTGACATTGCCATTCAGTTAGAGTATCCCATACCTCAGTGGCTGACTCAAATTACACAAGCTCACAGACCAATACATAAAACCAGAATGCCTATTTATTGATTTATGATGGGAAAAATAGCTGTTACACGGACTGGAATACTAATGTCAACTTTCCATTCCAGGAAACCATATAACGCCTCCTGTACGAGAAGTTAAATTACAACACAAAGATTGCTTGGTGAGCATGTGATCAAAACAGGGCAAGATGAAGACCTTTAGAGGCCACAAGCATTTTAGTGTGCCTCCCAACTTCCCTTATATTATTCAAAATATAAACAATAAAATCTACAAAGATGTGAAAGAAGTCCAACAAAAGCTTTATTTTTTTTATGATGAATACTTTTAAAACTTCATTGAAATATCAAATATCATATTCTTTTAAAACGATTTTTTTTTCTTTTTGCAATTTGTTTTGTTGGTATCCAAAATACACAGTTTTTCTGCTGGGCTCCGAACAAGAGGAGTTAATTTTAGTCCTTAGAGTTTTGACTGCAACAAGCCTAAATGAAACCTTCATAAAGGAGACTAAAACTCTCTCCTTTAGATCCTATTTGAGTATATGCTGCTAAGTTTCGTAAAGTGGCTCTTCTCTGTGCTTCCATAGACTAGTTGGTCCCTTTCTGACTGACACATTCTTTCCTTAAGTGGGTTAATGCATTTAATCAATTTACAGCCAAGAAAAGCTCATCTGAGAATATTCTGTCTAAGGAAAATTTGCATATCTCTGATCTGCTTCATCGTGCATGAATCTCATAATGTGGAACTCACACAGAGGGTAGCCAAATGCCCACCTCAGCCCCATAGCCATCACCACTGAAAAGGTGAGAAAATCATCTATATCCCCATATCATTACCACAGGCCAGGCCAAAAGATCTGTTTGGAACAACTGTTCCTATCTGCAGATATTATACAGGATGGGGTCAAATTTCTATCAGCCTGGGCACAACTACAGTCAACAGCATAAATGACCACCAGCCTGAGGGTGAGATTTTATGCAGAGTGTCTTAAATAATTAAAAAGATACTTATGGAATGAATAAATGAAAAACTTTTGAGGAAGCATTGCAAAAGGCTTCAAATAATAGAGACAGTTAAATAACTGTAATTTTTATGCACTGCACTTTTAATGACAGATAAAATGATAGACTTAAGAAAGGCTGAGGACTTCCTCCTACAAAATGCTTGTTAATTACACAGGGAATAGTCATAACTTCATTTTGGAAAAACTCAGCACACACCACTTCAACCAAGTAAAATCATCAGTTTGGAGACACTTGAACCATATTCCTCCCAATATGATATACTGAGAAGGAAACAATATAACTTTGGTGAAAGTCTTGCCCAAAATGCATAACCTCAGTCTAGTCATGAGAAAACATCAGACAAACCCAAATTCAGGGCCATTCTATAGAATCCCTGGCTCTTAAAAAAAGCATCAACTTCATGAAATGCAAAGGAAGACTGACAAAAGAAGAATAAGGAAGAGCAAGGAACCATGACAGTCCAATGAAATTGCAACCCTGGACGGATCCTGAACTAGAAAAAAGCATATTAGTGAGAAAATTGGTTAAATTCAAATAAGGTTTTATCATTGCAAAGACCAACAGGATGTCTTAATAGTAGAAAAGAGAGTTTTATTGATTATATCAGTTTGCAAACTAAGAAGATACAGTCTCTAGCGTGGATCAAATGGGCTCTCTCTTCACGAAGAGAAAGCGTAGGTTGAGTTTTACGCCTCACATGCCCTGTATAACACATTACGGTCATATATATTCAGCAGTTTTGGGGGAAAAGCTATACGTACTTATGAGAGGAAACAAGCGCATGGGCAATAGGTAAACATATATGTAATGTAAATCCCATGTTTAGTTTGAGGTGGGGTTTTAGCATTAAAATGAAATCAGGTTTGGCTCTTTACATCAAAAGGTGAACTATAAGACACAAAGACAGTTTGTGCACAGTCCCTATAAGCTGACTGAAACTGGCTTGAAGATTACAGTTACTTATCAAAAAAAGAATGTTTGTGGCTGAGCGCAGTCACTCACTCCTGTAAAGCACTTTGGGAGGCCAAGATGGGCAGATCACTTCAGGTCCGGAGTTCGGGACCATCCAGGCCAACATGGTGAAACCCTGTCTCTACTAAAAATACAAAAATTAGGCTGGATGTGGTGGCTCATGCCTGTAATCCCAGCACTTTGGGAGGCTGAGTCGGGCAGATCATGAGGTCAAGAGTTCGAAACCAGCCTGGCCAGCATGGCGAAACCGTGTCTCTACTAAAAATACAAAAATTAGCCTGGCATGGTGGCACACGCCTATAATCCCAGCTACTCAGGAGGCTGAGGCAGGTAAATCACTTGAACCTGGGTGGTGGAGGTTGTAGTGAGCTGAGATTGTACCACTGCACTCCAGAGCGAGACTCCATCTCAAAAAAAAAAATTAGCCGGACTTGGTGGTGACATCTGTAATCTCAGCTGTATGGGAGGCTGAGGCAGAAGAATTGCTTGAATTTCGGAGGTGGAGGTTGCAGTGAGCCAAGATCACACTACTGCACCCCAGACTGGGCAACAGAGCAAGATTGCATCTAAAAAAAAAAAAAATAGAGAGAAAGAGTGTTTTGTAAGTCCTGTCCTTTGTCCAGTTAGAGTTGTAGTGACCTGGGTTATAAATCAGAGTTAGGAAGGGTTTCACAATTTACCTGATAACCTATTGTTAGGGAGTGTAGCAAGGATGTGGTTTTTCCTGTAGCCATAGGATTTTAGAGATTTGCCATGCTAGCCAAGCCCCAAACCCTTGGCCTGTAGGTAACTTTTGTTGTCTTAATGGAAGGGTCTCCACTGATTGACAAAGGGAAGTCTATTTTAGTCTCTCAGATCACAGTTTGTAGATTATATTTATTGAATCAATGTTAATTTTGTATACTTTAATTGCATTATGGTTGTCTAAGACGTTAACATTAAAAGAAGCTGGATGAAGTATATAATGGGAACTCTTTTTACTATTAATGTTTTTTTGTTTTTGTATATCTAGAATTGTTTCCAAATAAGTATAGAATGAAAGAATAAGGCAAATTTCATTGGTAAAGAAGCTTTGCAGTGTATAACTTGAGTAAATATATCTAAATTTTTTTCGATATATCATCTGAATGATGTTTAAAATCTGTCATAGATTCATGTCACAAGCCATTCCTACCCAGTACACTGCAGTAGCTTCTGGAAGCCTTTTTACACCTCCACTCTTTCAGAGTTGTCATATGCAATTAATATTTTCATAATGTAGCTTTCAAATTGTGACTAAAATGCACATGATTAAAACAAATCAATGACTACTAATTGTTTTTTATGGAAAGTAAGCTCCTCCTGTCTCAGCTTCAGCCATTCACTAGCCTTCATCTCTAAATGCATTCATTTGGACTCCTATAGAAATTTACTAGATAGTCCTTTCTTACCCCTAAATACTGTGTCTTTAAGAATATTTAGGTTAAAATTTTTGACAAGATCTTTTGGCTTTCTTCCATGATAAACAGATTACTTTCACCTTTTTACACCACATCTTATATTTCCTACCCTACGTTCCAATAAAATTATATCCCTATTTAGTTAAATCAGTAAACCAAGAGTAGAATACAGTATTATTATTATGTATGTAATTGTCTGATTCACTTCAGAAATAAGTTGTGTATCATGCTTTTTTCTTTCCTTTCTTTTTGTACAAGTTTTTGTTTTTCTTAAATTTTCCATAGGCTTTTATTTTTTCTTATGTTGTATCCTTAGTCTCTTCACTCAAACATTTGATCAGGTATGTTACTGCTCTTTCTTTATTCAGGAGACCTCTACCCAGAACTATGAGTTCTCCTTCTGCAGTCTGGGATGCTTTCTCTCTACACCTTCGGCACAACGCTCTTCCTGGAGCTTCCTTTCCCTGCCTTCTTAAAGACACTGAATCCACTGACTCCTAAATCTCATAACACTGCATCTGAGTAATGATTCAATTGGGTATAAAGTTATAGGTTGAGAATATTTTTCTCTTTGTCCTTTGAAGAAATTATTCCACTGTCTTCTAGTACGCAGTATTACTGCTCCCATTTTTATTCTTCTTTAGGAAATGTCCTCCCGCCCACAGCCTTCTCTACCTCTAAGGTTAAAAGATTCCCCTGTCCTTAGATGTCCTGAAATTTTAGAGTTATGCATGTAGGTATATTTATTAATTATGTTTGGTACTTGGTTCCATCATTCAATCTGGAGAAGAATGTTTTTTCTTTTGTTATTTCATAGTATAATTCTCTCCATTCCTTTGTTCTCCTTTTCTGGAATTCCTGTTAGAAGTTATAACTCTTAGAATGCTATGTATTCCTTTTAAAAAATCCCCCTTCCCAAACTTTTAAGGTAATTAACTTGATTTAATTCTTTGTTCTGATTAATTTGTTATTCTGGTGATTATTTTTATTTTTTCAGAAACCCTTTGGTTTCCTTCAGTTTATTTCATGTGGCAGAATCATTTTAATTTATGGATAAAATATCTTCTTGGATCATGCCAGTCTCAACTGGATTTTTTTTTTTCCTAAGCTCTCGGTGTTCCTTAATGTGTCTGTTTAGGGAGGAGTCATTCTTTCTTTTTTGTTGATGTTAAATATGTTTTAAAGTGTAGGTTTTCATCAAATATCAGGGGATAGTTGCTTATCTGATTATATTTTAAAAGGAAGCAGTAAAAAAGAAGCTGATTGAGAAATGTATGTACCATTTGCAGTTCTTGGACACTGATGGGGTTGCCACAGCATGTGTAAGCAAGAAACCATTCATCATGTTGTGTGTCTCTACAATGCTAGATTACGAAGGTCTTTCTTTTCTTTTTACACCAGTTCATATTTCTTTAAACTTTTTTTTTCTATTTGCTTATGATAAGACAGCTGTGAAAAACTATGTCTGAAGTGTTAAGCAATTTAACTGTGGTTAAATTAACAGCAAATCCTATTTTCAGTTTCAATAGTGAGCTCTCGTTTTAGTGAAGCACTGTTCTTACTCCAGTTTTCCAGAGTACCTTCTTACACTAATGAATGTTGGTGATCTCCATGGTTTTAGCAATCTGATTGTCTCTCTCAGTCACTCCTCTTTGGGATATTGTCTAGGCTGCATCTTCCTCCACCTCCTTCAACGGTTACATTTCCCCATTTTTATCTTTATTGTCTAAAAATATGTTGAAATCTCTTTTATCAATAGCTCCCTTATCATTCTCTACCCCATTGTTATAACACCTGTATCCCTTTACTATCCTCTCTCTTATTTAATCCAGTTTAAAAGGGGAGAAAATTTGCCCTTCTGGGTAATAACAAAAAGAATCGTTTGTGGCAAAGCATCTGAATCATAGGGAGAAGTAGACTTGGCTGAAAACTGAAACAAAACAAACTGAAAGCTATTGAAAAACATAGTGATTCTTAAACTCTCATGTGCATTAGGATAATCTGGAGATCTTTTTTGAAAAAAAAAGTCCACACCCAGTTCCAGACCTACAAAGAAAGAATATTCAAGATTTTAGCCTTTTTTATGCTTACTTTTAAGTTGAAAAATAGTACGTATTTGCATATCACTTCAAAACAATTTTTGGTGACCATCATTTGTTATCTCACTAAGCACATACTTGGTCTAGTGGACTTAAGGCAAGCAGAAGTTACTCGAAGGCAGTAGAGTAACGTGACGTCTTTGGCGTTTTACCACCAAATAAAATAAGCGTAGACAGAGAAGTAATGATTTTTACCTGTTACCAAACTTAATTGCTTAACAGGGAGTGTGCACATCTTCATTTTTCAGTCACTATTCTCCTCAAAAAAATCACTATTTCTCCTCAAAAGGCTCGTGCAGCCTCAATATGAACCCAAGAAGGATCCATCTCTCTTTCACCCATTTGGAATGTTGCTTTTCAGGTTCCAGGGGAAAACTCAATCTCAAAAGCCGTAACCCATCCTGACCTTTGTGTCCTGGCACAACATCCTAGGGTACCTGTGTGAAGATGGATATTGGTCATGACATCTGTCAAGAAAAATAATAAAATAATCCAAATATCGAGACCTCAAAATAGAAAATTAATGAATTTCAGATACGTGAAGTTCTTATTTAAATCAGATCAGTTTTCTTTCCCTTCCTTTAAGGAAAGCCAAGTTATATGAAGCATATGATATTAAGGCTTTTAAGTTGAAAAATAGTATATATTTGCATAGTACTTTATAACATGGTTGTAAAATATGCTACTTGATTTAAACATTAAAAATAACTTTGAGATAATAAGGACAAATTTTTTAAAGTTATTTTCATTTTACAGATCTGGAAACCAAGGCTCATACACTTACTTTTTTTCCAAGATCACGTACATTTTGAAGTGTAATATTGTAACTCAAGGTCAAGTATTCTGTCTTTAAATTCTATGCTCTGTCCATCATTTAACATTGACTCAAATTCATCAGTCAGAAAATAAACTCATCCTTTTAGTTCTCTGCCAGTTTTGGTGACCTTCCCATGACCCTGCTGGCAATGAATTAGGCTATAGAAAGTACCACACTATCAGGCAGACATTTGGGTCCAAGGTTTCTAAATATGATGGAGCTTAGAGGATCAAGCTCATAATTAATTATAGAACTTGTGGAGGGTCAGTTCATCTATTTAAAAATGCCTGATTAGTGTTCTGCAGATTCCATTTATATGAGGCTCTTAGCAATAATTCCCAATTCCTGTTTGGAATCCCAATTTTCTTTCTTTCTTTCTTTCTTTCTTTATTTATTTTTTATTATTATTATACTTTAAGTTTTAGGATACATGTGCACAATGTGCAGGTTAGTTACATATGTATACATGTGCCATGCTGGTGTGCTGCACCCACTAACTCATCATCTAGCATTAGGTATATCTCCTAATGCTATCCCTCCCCCCTCCCCCCACCCCACAACAGTCCCCAGAGTGTGATGTTCCCCTTCCTGTGTCCATGTGTTCTCATTGTTCAATTCCCACCTATGAGTGAGAATATGCAGTGTTTGGTTTTTTGTTCTTGCGATAGTTTACTGAGAATGATGATTTCCAATTTCATCCATGTCCCTACAAAGGACATGAACTCATCATTTTTTATGGCTGCATAGTATTCCATGGTGTATATGTGCCACATTTTCTTAATCCAGTCTATCATTGTTGGACATTTCGGTTGGTTCCAAGTCTTTGCTGTTGTGAATAGTGCCGCAATAAACATACGTGTGCATGTGTCCTTATAGCAGCATGATTTATTGTCCTTTGGGTATATACCCAGTAATGGGATGGCCGGGTCAAATGGTATTTCTAGTTCTAGATCCCTGAGGAATCGCCACACTGACTTCCACAAGGGTTGAACTAGTTTCCAGTCCCACCAACAGTGTAAAAGTGTTCCTATTTCTCCACATCCTCTCCAGCACCTGTTGTTTCCTGACTTTTTAATGATCGCCATTCTAACTGGTGTGAGATGGTATCTCATAGTGGTTTTGATTTGCATTTCTCTGATGGCCAGTGATGGTGAGCATTTTTTCATGTGTTTTTTGGCTGCATAAATGTCTTCTTTTGAGAAGTGTCTGTTCATGTCCTTCACCCACTTTTTGATGGGGTTGTTTGTTTTTTTCTTGTAAATTTGTTTGAGTTCATTGTAGATTCTGGATATTAGCCCTTTGTCAGATGAGTAGGTTGCGAAAATTTTCTCCCATTTTGTAGGTTGCCCGTTCACTCTGATGGTAGTTTCTTTTGCTGTGCAGAAGCTCTTTAGTTTAATTAGATCCCATTTGTCAATTTTGGCTTTTGTTGCCATTGCTTTTGGTGTTTTAGACATGAAGACTTTGCCCATGCCTGTGTCCTGAATGGTAATGCCTAGGTTTTCTTCTAGGGTGTTTATGGTTTTAGGTCTAACATTTAAGTCTTTAATCCATCTTGAATTGATTTTTGTATAAGGTGTAAGGAAGGGATCCAGTTTCAGCTTTCTACGTATGGCTAGCCAGTTTTCCCAGCACCATTTATTAAACAGGGAATCCTTTCACCATTGCTTGTTTTTCTCAGGTTTGTCAAAGATCAGATAGTTGTAGATATGCGGCGTTATTTCTGAGGGCTCTGTTCTGTTCCATTGATCTATATCTCTGTTTTGGTACCAGTACCACGCTGTTTTGGTTACTGTAGCCTTGTAGTATAGTTTGAAGTCAGGTAGTGTGATGCCTCCAGCTTTGTTCTTTTGGCTTAGGATTGACTTGGCGATGCGGGCTCTTTTTTGGTTCCATATGAACTTTAAAGTAGTTTTTTCCAATTCTGTGAAGAAAGTCATTGGTAGCTTGATGGGGATGGCATTGAATCTGTAAATTACCTTGGGCAGTATTGTCATTTTCACGATATTGATTCTTCCTACCCATGAGCATGGAATGGTCTTCCATTTCTTTGTATCCTCTTTTATTTCCTTGAGCAGTGGTTTGTAGTTCTCCTTGAAGAGGTCCTTCACATCCCTTGTAAGTTGGATTCCTAGGTATTTTATTCTCTTTGAAGCAATTGTGAATGGGAGTTCACTCATGATTTGACTCTCTGTTTGTCTGTTATTGGTGTATAAGAATGATTGCGATTTTTGTACATTGATTTTGTATCCTGAGACTCTGCTGAAGTTGCTTATCAGCTTAAGGAGATTTTGGGCTGAGACAATGGGGTTTTCTAGATATACAATCATGTCATCTGCAAACAGGGACAATTTGACTTGACTAAGCATTCTTTAAAGTACATTTATTGCTCAACATGGATAAAAAGACTTGTCTGAGGCCAAAATCTTAGTGAAAACAGAACCCAAATAAGTAAACACAGCACTGATGCTTACTTTTGCATTAGAGCCTTTAGCCAATTTTTGTTGATTTTGAGCTTTTATATGAGTGTCAGAGTATTGACTATACCTGCTTCAGTGACATATCCTTCTGCTCTGGAGACTAGTTCAAATCAAAATTAGAAATCTCTTACAGCAGGAACTGATTTGGAATCATGGTTGGATACTTTTGAGGTGACTTATGTCTATCATGCATGTTCCATGGAGCATCAGCTATGAAAAATGTTGACAGTTAGTACAGTGTTCAAACAGGCTAGAAAAATGCTGGTTTATACAAGGTTAAACAGTTTAAAGGATTTTGCCCTAAGAGACACTGTAGCTTTCCCAAAATAGCTTTCTCAAAAATTGCTTGATATGGAGCATTTCCCAAACTAACTAAACCAAAGAACCTGCTTTTTTTTATGATTAATCCTTTTTGGGTTGGTGTTCTTTGGAACACACTTTGAAAATGTTTATTTAGCCCAATCTTCTCATGCTACAGCTAAGACCACTGAAGCTCGGAGACCTTGTGACTGCTCCAGGTCATGTACATGATTAGTGGCTAAGCTGGGCCCTGGCCCACTGCTTTTCATCTTATCCTGTTGTCTTTCATTTTAGTTCAAGAAATCCCCTGTGACTCTTAGTTAGGGATATATAATATCTCTGCTTCTGGAGTCATAGATATAGCTCCTGCTTCTTGACCTGTATTCAGATGGTCTTTTTGGGGGGTATTGATTGCCTTTGATGTCAAGGGTACTTACAGCTTTCCAGTGAATAAAGTTCATGAAGTCCACCTAGTGAGCTTTGCAAGATGTAGAATCATATGTATGTGGGTCTCATCAAGAGGCTTGGCATATGGTTAATGTCAGGTTTGGCTAAAATGGTGCATTTTTTTCTTATTCTGCTGTGGGAAGAAAGGCAATAATATAATGTATCTGTTAGAATGGTTTAATAAGTTTGAATCTACTGGGGAGGTTGTTCAGTTCAGGTTACTCCTGTTCCCTGCAGTGGGAACCTGCTGGCAGAGTCCACTGCAGCCTAGACTAATCTGATCAGCCCAGTGCTCCAAAATATAGGACCCAGGGGACACAGACACTGTTTGGCATTATCCAGAACAGGTATACAGGCCACTACAGGCAGAGATGTTCTCAGTACTTCCTCAGAAGCATAATGCAGCTCTGATAGAGATTTTAGGGGAGTGAAAGGCTTTCCATGGTTTCTCTTGTCTCTCTTATAAAAATAACAGCTGGCTGGGCATGGTGGCTCATGCCTTGAATCCCAGCACTTTGGGAGGCCAAGGCGGGTGGATAACTTGAGGTCAGGAATTTGAGACTAGCCTGGCCAACATCGTGAAACCTTGTCTCTGCTAATCATACAAAAATTAGCTAGGTGTGGTGGCACACATCTGTAATCCCAGCTACTTGGGAGGCCGAGGCAGGAGAATCACTTGAACCCAGGAGGTGGAGGTTGCAGTGAGCTGAGACTGTGCCACTGCACTCCAGCCTGGGTGAGAGAGTGAGACTCCATCTCAAAAAAAAAAAAAAAAAAATGGAAGCGTATATTGGGACACTTTCTTGTGGTAGAGATTGTAATTGGCACTTTGTTTAATTTAGCTCATTTAATCTTCACAACAATAATGTGTACCATTATTCCCTTTTCCTACATGGGCAAATTGAGGCTCAGAAAAGGTATTCAACTTACCCCATGGCCTCTAGCAAAAAGTAGGAGAGTCCGTTCCAGAAATGTACAGTTTTAGCTCGTGTATTCTTCCACCTTGGAGACTGCATTGATCTATGCTAATTAGGGTCATTTCCTCAATAAGAAGACAAGAAATCAAAAGAAAATGAAATAAATTCAGTTGATAAACTTGATAGAAATTAATAGTGTATAGTAATGTGAACAAGCTATTCTTTGTAAGATAGCCATACATCTACCACTCACACAGTTACTCCATGCTAACCCTCAGAGAGATGTTGCAGTTTGATTTGCCAGATGAAAATTATAATGATTACATTGTATTCTCTTTTATGGAGGCAAATTGAAACCTTTTCCTTAAAAGGTTCTGCTTATTATCCTAGGAAATTGTCATGGAGAGATGCAGCTCTTTTTAAAGTCTTTGAAAATAAAAGCAAAAGTGCACCCATGCAAGCTTTAGCCTGAACAGGTAGAGTCAATTTTATTAACATATGAAGCCATATGTTTGGAGACTAGAGAAATAAGAGGACAATGAATCAATTGTCAGACTCGCATGGATAGCTGAGGGATGAAACATTTGGTATCAGCTGTATTTCTCAGATGCCCTGATTGTGTTGGGTGCACTTTCCATCAGTGAATAATAGAGTGGACACAGAGGGTAAAAACGTGGAGGTAGGATAGAGAATAATTTTTAAAGAGTGTAGCAGTTCCACAAAACTCAAGCAGAAGCACTGAGAGTTCTTAAAGAAAGGGTAAGATAAATGGCAACTTTGGGGTATTCTTAACTATAAGTGATACTCCCCTGCACACTGAGGACAGAATCAGGCTTAATAAATGCCATGACAATATATAACTTTGCCCTGGTTCTTTGGCTGCCTGGGTAGCAAATGAATCAATGTGAGATGCTCTCTAAAGACTCTCACAGTGCCTTATGCCTAATAGATTCAACAGATGAAGCCGAGGTGTTTAAGGACTGGGAACTGGTCCTCAGAAGGCTAGTTAAAATGGAGTGGCATGGTTTGCACTCTCCCCAGGACATTCGCATTTCAGAGAGAACAGTCTCTGGCTAGCAGGCAGGGTTAATGCTGTGGTAGAGTGTAGGGAAGGATGGTAATGGAAATGCATTTGAAACCCTGACATTGCGGGTAACTGAAAGGCACTGCATATGGCAAATGGCCAGTGTGAGGGGCCCTGAGGTCAGCCAGTAATAGCTGAGGAGGTTTTATAATAGAGAATAGTGGGTGAAATGGAGCAGATGGAGGCTGTATTAGGCACTGAGGTCACACGAGCCCTAAGGAGAGAAGTTGGCATGAATTATGCTGCCACATTGTAAGTGCAAATATGTGATTGCTTAGCCAATTAAAGAGGTAATGAATGAAGGATAGACTGGAAGGTAACACATCAAAGTTGCCAGAGTTATCATATGTCATTTAATCATGCTGATATTTCACAGGCAAGAAGAAGCTGATCAAAAGACAGCATGCAAAAAGACAGCTGTCAAAAGACATTGCAAAGAGCAAATATGTTGAAGTGAGGGAGAACTAACAATTTATGCAAAAATAACAGTGTGAGAAAGGGCAAATTATTTATCCCTCTGTATCTTTTTCCCCCTCATTTGTAAGTGAAGATTTTTATAACCGCAAATGTAACACAAATGGTCAGAAATAGAGGATTACTCTAAACTCAGTGCAGTTATTAAGCAATTATTATCAAATTGGAAATGTTTTTCATACAAAAGAATTAAATTATATTTGCCAGTATGTAAGATGTAATAAAAGCATATGAAAATGATGTCAAGGGCAAGATTTACTAACAAGGCAGAGGTGAAGGGCCTGGGTTCGAATTCCCATACATCTGTGATTGAATCCAAGTTTTTCCCTCACTAGCTGCCTGATGTTGACAGGCACCTACCTTTTACAAGTTTTATTTTACTTATCTCTAAAATGAAAATGATCCCTGCTCCTTCAGGCATTATGCGTTTGAAGTTAGATATGTCCGAAGCCCAGAACATACCCAAAGCACTGAGTAAAAGTTTGAGTGTGTGCCTTTTTTGTGACTCAGTTCCGTAAGAAAGTCTATGAGAGACAAGAAGTGGCCTAAGGCAGGTAGATACTGAGGTAGTAGGTAGAAGCATCTACTAGCACAAGAACCATAAAGGTGAGAAAATGTGGAGTGATGAGATGGAGAGTAAATATGAGCAACAGGCTCATATTGGTGTCATGTCATGAGAACATGACAGGACCTGTGATGGGAAGCATCATATTTGTGCTCATCTCTTACATTTCACCTTGAGAGGAAGGAAGTTGAGGCAGGTCTTTAAAGAAAGGAATGTCTGCTCAGGCCACTGAATGGGTAGGAGCAACCACTGAATGGTCTTAAGCTACTCTTGCACAGGGTCTTAAGCAACATGGAAATAAGGTTGATGGAAAATAAACATCAGTTTCAAAAAAAAAAGAGAGAAAGGAATGTCTGACATATTCCTTCACAAGTATCTCAGGACTCAAAATAACTCCCACTGATCCCCACCTCCCGATATACACACCCTTTAGAATCTTCTCTTGAGTGTGGGCTGGACCTAATGTCTTGTTTCTAATAAACAGAATATGGCAAAAGGGATGAAATATCACTTCCACAGTTAGGTTACAAAAGACTGAGACTTTCATTAATTTGGATGGAATTCTGTCTCTCTGGTTCTTCTAGTTGGATCATTCTTATGAAAGCAGCTGACATGTTGTGAATTACCCTATGGCTTTACGATTACAAATCCAGTTAGTGATAAAATTACTTCAAATTTGGAGTAAATGAAATACCATATTAATACTAAAATCTAACGTGTTAGGATATATGTTTAAAAGCTTTGTAAAAGTAAAGGATAGGCTACCATTTATATCTTTAAAAGTTTGGTTTGTAATACCTATGCCAATAGGCTCTTGCAAGCACTAAATAAACTAATGTATATAAAAGTGTATAGAATGAGACACTGTTTGTCACTGTTCTTTTTTAACTGTATGACATTCAGGTTTTTCGTAACAACATTTCACTGGAAGTCAGAAGTATGACTGTACTTAAAAATCAACCCCCATTCTCCTGTCTCTGCCACAGTTTGCCTTGAAACCAAGCAATGTTTACAGTACACCACACTGAATAGTAGAGGGGGAAAAATCTGACACTAGGAAGAAAAATTTCTCAACTCAAACTTCCATAAAATTGACATAAATTTCCAGAAATGCTCATAGATTATGTAAATTTATTTTCATTTTACTTGTTTTTTTATGTTAAACTGAGTTATAATTTTTCAGAATATAAGAAAAAGTTTTAAAAATATGTTTTAAAAAAGTTTTAAAAAGATGCTGCATATTCAACTACTATTTTGACCCTTTTGGAAGTCAAAGACTAGTAAAAATGGGAGAAAACTCAGTATTGTTCATGGAACACGTATCAGGGATCAGTTTTGAATAAGATTTATCAAGCAGAGGATTGTGACCTAAAAGTAAGCCATAGAGATGGTAGCTCCCCACTTATCTAAAGGCTCAAAGTAGCCAACTATTTTCATTCAATAAATATTCTTTCAAAGGTGTTCCAATACCATTTCAGGGGCTTGGGTTACATCAATGATCAAAACAAAACCTCCTGCCCTTATGACAAATCATACATTCTAGTGGGGCAGAAATTAAACATTAAACAATAAATAATAAGTCATATGGTATTAGAAGTAGTACGGCAGGTAATTGGGACATGTCTGTTTGTTTTTCCTTTGTGATTTTTTCCTTTGGGACATGTGGAGCTACTGAAGGGGTTATCACCTGTGACACTCAATTTCACTTGACGGTAGCATGACGTTATAAATGAAGTCCTGTGAACCTACTCATAGGGACTCCGGATATGGGTATTTTCTAGGTATGATAAAGTCATTATAGAAATAGATATAGTAATTGAAAATCTTTAAACATAAAATAATAATAATTTATTCTGAGAGAATACATCTCTGGGAGAAGTGGGTCACCTACGGAAAAATCACATATTTTTATCATATTTATGTTAATACAATATTTTATTATAAAGAAATGTCCCTTTGTGATTGGAAAATCAAATGACATAAAAATAAGTTTGACAAAAAATAGCATTTTGGGGTCAAATTTATAGGTTCTGAAATAGTAAACGACCTCTGTAGGTGGCACTGCTTCCATCAGGCAAGTACTTCTAAAAGTTATTTGGTATCTTACAGAATGTCCGAGAGGACCAGGTATCAAATGTGAATGCTATAGAGCCTAAAATAGGAGCAATACCTATGACACGCCTAAACTAATTTAATGGAAATCCGATTGCTGGTTCTACTAGTTACTTGAGTCCATGAAGTCAGGAATCAACAGCTAGCACTTTTTCTATGGCTGATGCAGCAAACCCAACAACTCAATGAGGCTATGCTTGCCAGAACTCCTCAGTCACACAATATTCACGTTTGTCTTTCCTGTCTGCTAGAAAGAGAGAAAGGAAGCTGGTCATATGTTTACACCTAATGTTGAGGAGGTTGGTCAAATGTTTACACCTCAAGTCAGTGGAGCCTGAGAATAATAATTTAGGAATTCTACTTAGGGAAGGCTAGATGCGTGATACTGGTGAACCGCCAGAATGGGGAAGGGATTTCAAAAGTTGGGGGCTGCCATAAATGGCTGATACATTCTAAAAACTATGTGTACATTTTTATCTAATAATCTTTTTCTAATATCTTTGAAATTTTTATTCCATTAATGCTTACATCCCCAAAGGGCAAAATTGTACCTGCAAAAGCGTTTAATTGTATCATTTAAAAGGTACCTACTTCTCTTCTCCCAGTAGCAGGCAAAAAGAAAGAAATAATGTCAACCTGCTTACTTATTTTCTACATATGTTTAAACCAGGATATATCAGTTATATTAACAATTTTAAAAGTTATGCAAAAGTTTCTAGTAAAGGTAATTCTTCATTTTATGGTTCTGTATCTTAAGAAATTCTTTCAAGTGGAACTCATTATTGCTGTCGTATTTCCTAATTAATTGTAAATACAGAGTGCTGGAACAGATGCTATAGGTGCGGACTTTATGATGACTTTCACCACATGTACATTGGTCATGTTGAAAGTTTAAAATGCCTTGGTCAGTTGCTTAATTTAGTTCTATTTGAGAAGATAAAGATCACTTAATTGTGAAATATACAAAGACTGAAGGGAAGTTGGAAGTATGGGGTAGTTCACTCTAGCATGTGAAGCATATCCTCTCAAGAGGAGCAATGGGATTATCTTTGGATTTTGTTATTATTGATTGCTCTCACTCCAGCAACAAAGAGCAGGTACTCTACAGATTTGATATAGCAAATGGTTAAAACAAAGATTGTATCTTCCTCCCTGGTCTACTTAATAGGTACCCACAAAGTTGGAAAAAATAAAAGAAAAGCTATCCCCTCTTTTTCTAAAAGAAAGCTGTTTTCAGCTAGCAATCCTGTAGCACACTCAAGAGATAGCATTACGTGGATAATGTAGAAGTATCATACCTCTCAAGTAAATGGACACTTATCCCATGCAGCCATGAAAAGGTAATTGGAGTCCAAAGTGTAAAGTATAATGGAAGGTTATTGAGGCATTTTGAAATGGTTTGGGCTGGATTTTGCACTACACATGTGATAACATTCTTTATGGCCTGGAATCTTTTGTGTAAGTTTGCTTTTAGAATTTAATAAGCCTACAGATAGGAAATTTGGAAGTTATTTGTTCCCTCTCAAGAATCCAAATATGTTACCTCTCTGACCCCCAGGGAAACTGATACTACTAAATGAGAACCATTTTAGTATTATTTTGGTTATTTTTAGTTACAGCATTTAAAAAAACAATAAATAAGGCAGTCTGCCTTTGGCATTTCTCTCAAATGATAGGATTTGAGCTCCCAAAACTGGGGGCTGAAGAGCTCTGATGAAAAGGTCAGAACTGCAGCCATGTATCCAGGAATTCCAGCCCCTTAGTTTAATGAACTGAATTGTACTTTCATAAGATCTAAATCATAAGCATTACTTTAATAGCTACCATACAGAAATAGATGAATCCCTTCTTGAAAGGGATCAGAGAATGTATTAATTTGTTATTGCTTTTTGCCTAAAGATATTCTAAGCCTAGCATCATTTAAGATATAGAAAAACCATAGCTGTTGAATTTCATTAAATTTCCTTGTGCCCATTTCTAAGACTATCTAAATCATCATGCATTGATTATCTACTATTCACTCTTAACTCAGTAGAAGAAGGAAAGAGAACTATGTGAACAGGTGCCGGGCAGTGCATGGGGCTCCCTGCATGCATCGTCTCTACTTGAATCCAGGTTTAACATGAGCTGAACATAGAGATAATTTGTTTTTCTTTTTATTATATTTGTGATATGTGATTATTTGTGAAAACTTAAGGAATACAAAAATCACAAAAAAGGAAACTGAGTTTTCTCTGAAACTCAGAACCTTACCTGCACTCTTGACCCAACTGCTCAGAATTCTTGTGGGACTTGGATAAATTACTCTCTTTTCTCGTTTCAATCATTTTCTTCACTCTTTTCCCACTTCAGCCTACAGGTGTTCTCTAATCCTCCAAACACTAACAACAGTTTTTGTTCCATTAAAAAGAAAAATCTCTTGTTGATTCTGAATTTCTCCTCCTTTCTCCTTACTACCAAACTTTTGGAGGTTGTTGTCTACAGCCCATTTTGATTTAATGCTTCTGATTCATGCCTCGATATAGAGTAGGCTAGCAATTCTTTTCACACTCAATGAAAACTGTTCTTATAAAAGTTACAAAAGTCCATCTAACTGCCACATAGCTCTTATTCCTTCTCTTATTTTTCCACCTTGTAGACTGTGGTACATCCTAAGAAAATTTTGCTTTAGTTTTTTTTTTTTTTTTTTAATATACTCCTTTTCCTAGTTCTCCTTCTTATACTTTCATCGTTGGTTCTCAGACCTGGTGATATGGTTTGGCTGTGTCCCCAGCCAAATCTCATCTTGAATTTTAGCTCCCATAATCCCCACATGTAGTGGGAAGAACCTGGTGGGAGGTAACTAAATCATGGGGGTAGGTTTTTCCCATGCTGTTCTTGTGATAGTGAATAAGTCTCATGAAATCTGATGGTTTTACAAAGGACATTTCCCCTGCACACACTCTCTTGCCTGCCACCATGTAAGACATGCCTTTGCTCCTACTTCACCTTCCACCATGATTGTGAGGCCTCCTGATCCATGTGGAACTATGAGTCCATTAAACCTCCTTTTCTTTACAAATTACCCAGTTTGGATATGTCTTTATTAGCAGCATGAGAAAAGATGAATACACCTGGCTTCTTTTTCTAATCAAGTATCTTAAGTATCTTATATATTGATATATCCCCTATTCTCCCATTTCTCCTTTGTCTCAGAATCTAACTCTAATCGATGTCATTTATTGCCATGTCTCTAATCATCAATACCATTCTCTATGCCAGAAACCTATTCTGAGAAGCACATTACTCACTTGGATACTTAATGAATAACTCATGTATACAATGTCCCTAATATATTATTTTGTGAAACATATTGAGGCTGCCCTTTTCCAGATGCCCATTCCTAAACATGTTTTGACTTCTTCCTGCTTTGAAAAGAGTCAAATTACATGGAGCTATAGTTCTTGTATAGTCCCCAAGATTTTAATCTTAAGGCCAAAGACAAGCATAATAAGGAGAGTGGATTCAAAAGATGAAAAGAGCCTATATCTCCAAAGGCATCACTGAATAACAGGACCACTTCCAACACCTGACAGTATCTGGACTTCATTTATGAGAACAAAACAAATCTTTATTGTTTCCACAGAAAAGGCAAGGCAGGGCAGAGTAAATAGTTTAGAATTGGCTGGTTTGAATAATTTCAGCAGGGCTGAAGATGTTACAATGGTGCCTATTTGCCTGCTACCTGGTACTGGGATGATTAAGGTGAGAAACAGTGCTGCTTAGAGAGTAGGGCCAGGCAGAGAAGGGAATGGCTCTGGATTGGTTAGTTTGTATAACAAAAGCATGCTCTGGCTTTATTCTTCACTATCTCTTAGCTGTCCTTGGGAGAAGTTGTATTTCCCTAGCTGGAAAAACTTTTGAGATGTCAAAACATCACAATATACAGAAAACAAAAAATATAAACAATAAGAAATCAACTACTCCATGCAAATAATTACAAAATGAACTGAAAGTTGGAACTAGTAAAGGAGTGTCAACAGAAGGTAGAAATTTTACAATGATGCTTGAGAGAGTGATATAAAGAGCGCAGGAAAAATAAATGTTAGCACAGAACTGTAGTTATGTTAGTAAATTGAAAGCTAAGATACTGATGAAAGAAGCTGATGTTTGGATGCTACAACTCTAGAAGTATAGTGGTATGTCCTATGGTGGTTTGAGTATTTAATTCTACATGTTACAATCAGAAAGGAATTGGACATTTAGAAAGGAAGCTAGTCCCAGCTACTCGGGAGGCTGAGGAAGGAGAATTGCTTGAACCCCGGAGGTGGAGGTTGTAGTGAGCGGAGATCATGCCACTTCACTCCAGCCTTGGCGACAGAGCAAGACTCTGTCAAAAAAAAAAAAAAAAAAAAAAAAAAAAAAAAAAAAAAAAGCTAGCCTGGAAAATGTCTCTTAGAGCTATTCTAAGAGAATCACTTTTAATTCCTTTCAAGTATAACAATGAAGAGCAGTTCCTGGCTTCCTCCCTTTAGAGAGTAATCACAGGGGAAATAAATCAATCCTCTCATTGCTTTACTGAGTCTGGATTTTGGAGCTCACCTGAGAATAAAAAGTTTGACCCTGGTGGAAGTGGGAGGTGAGACACATAATATAAGCAGCGTTCCAGAATAAAAAGATCACAGGAGGCACCAAAGTTGGGTTATTCACGACCTAGAGACTATTTTACACTATGACTTCACAACTTGAGTTTTAGGATCAATTTCAAGGAAAGAAGCAACTTTAGTTTATAGACTCTGATGTGTCATATATACTTACAAAGTATTCTCTCTTAACCCCACACATTAAAGTGAGAGCTGTATTATTTGTATCCAGAGAGCGTGCAAGAAACACAAAGTTTAGCTCCAAAAAATGCGCTGGTCTTTGTCCTGCTGAAACATTTTAGGATTGGCTAGGATTGGCCTATTGATTTATTGTTTAGGAAGAATAAAGTAGCAAGAAAGGGATAGGGCAAACAGCCCAGGAGACCAAAGCTTTTGATTTATTGACAAAACAAGTGTAGGCTTCTGGCCACTCTCAAAGCGACACCTTTAGAAACCAGAGTTTGTTTCTATTCTGGCTAACCTTGAGGACAAGTGAGTATGTCTGTTCTCCAAATCTTAGAGCCTAGTGAGGGCTGGAATCAGACACAGATCCGCCATTAATGAACAGTGAAGAGTTCTATGCTACTTTTATAGCAGTGAGACACAGTTTTTCTAATCAGCTGAGAAACTAATTTCTACCTTAATTCCAGTAAAATGAATAGGTGCTTTTTCATGGATAAGTTCCCAATAAAAAAGCTCATGTGGTATTGCTAGGGCTTCGGTGTTTGTCCCCTCCAAACCTCATGTTGAAATTTGATCTCAAGGTTGCAAGTGGAGCCTGATGGTGGGTGTTTGGGTCATGGGGGGCATATTCCTCATGCATAGATGAGTGCCTTTCCTCAGGGGTAAATTAGTTCTCATTCTATTAGCTCCCTGAGAGCTGGTTGTTAAAAAGAGCCTGGTACATCCTCTCTCTCTGGCTTCCTCCCTTGCCATGTCTCTGCACACTCTAGCTTCCGTTTGCCTTCTGCCATGAGTGGAAGAAGCTCAATGTTTAATTGGTTTGCGACTCTGAAAACTAGAAGGTTTATGACTGGGCATTTCTCACCCAATGCCCAATATTGAACTTTCTAGTTGTCAGAGTCATTAACCCATTAAACCTTTTTTCTTTATGAATTACCCAGTTTCAAGTATTCCTATATAGCAGCACAAAATGGACTAAGACAGGTATGTATATCATAATAGCTTCAAAAAGAGTGTAATTTATATTCTTTAAGTATTTGAAACTTTGAACTTTACAGTTTATGAGTATATCTGTAATTATAAGAAGGATTTAATCACAATAAGCATTGTTTTTGAAACTTTGTAATAAGCTTAACCCCTTTAGACAAATTAAAAGTAATCATTATTAACATTTTCCCTGGAGTTTTCCTGTAGCCATGTTTACTCTTTCCAAATTTGATGCCCTAAAGATAAAATGACATAATAGCTGAGGACACATGCTCTGCTGTTAGACTGCCTGAGTTTTAATCTTGGTTTAAATACTGTACTTACTGCCTGTGTAACCCCAATCAGGTATGTAAGTTCTCTGTGCCTCCATTTTCTCATCTGTAAAGTGTGACTAATAATATCTCTTCTTAGGGCTACTGAAAAAATTAGATAAGCTAACATAGGCAAAAGTACTTGGTACATAATATAGTACTTGGTAACTGTTTATTGCAATTATCAGTTTCTGAGAATTATTTTATAAAATACCTGAGTAAAATCAATTGTATTAAAGCTCCACAGCAGATCAATTCTGTGGCAGTAGAGGTAAGGCTATAAGATGGAACCTTAAATTTAAACTATATTCTGGGAGTGAGTAGGGTTGGTGATTTCTCCAAACAGTGGTGAGGTGGAATTTGCAAAAGAATGAGTGCTGGATGGATAAAAGACTGATTTTTTTCTACATTTGAAATACCAAAATTAGTGTCTAAATTATTGTTATCTCTTCAAACATTAGTTTATATTTTGTGATGTTTTAAAAATTGTTTAGGAGTCTAGTCCATTCTTACATGTTATGTTCTTGAAATGATTATTTTGTATGATACTGTGTTGCTCTCCATTTTGACTTAGTTTTTGTCTTATACAGGTAAAATCAGTCTTCCCCAGACCAGACAATCTGTTCATTCCAGCCTTCCAAGCTAACCCAGTGCTGCTATAATTGGTATCTTGGAATAGCCTTGAGTATGTGGACTTATACAACCACAGTCTAGTATATTACCATGCATTAATAAAAATAGCCCTGTATTTCTATGGAAGAGAGAGAAAAATACCCAGGGTAATCTTTAATATACTGAATTTCCACTTTGTCAGCTACATGTGGTATTCCTGTTATTTAGAATTATTTTTTTCTGTTAAACTGGACATAACAGATTGTGTGTATGTGTGTGCATGCCTGAGAGAGAAAGAGACAGAGACAGAGAACGAGAGAGACTTAAATTTCTCAGGACATTGCAGGTATTGTCTTCTGCACCAAGATACATCCAAAACAGTCAGGTCCATTAAACCAACATGGATACTCACTCTTTTATTCATTTGATGAATAAAATAAAAGAGTTATACTAACTCTTTTATTCCATTTGATGATATGGTATGGATACCTGTTTACTCTATTAGGCTTTTACTTTGCATTGAAATTGAAGCAACATAACATCAGTTTCCTTAGTATCGTGTTTGACTTGCCTATGCAATTATTTTCACATAAACACACTTAGATTTTTTGAAAATATCTATAAAGTTATAATTGTTTCAGCAACAATTTCCTGAGTGTACAATATATCTTTATATTTGTATAGCAACATTTTGAAAACAGTATGGCTGATTTACATTTCCCTGAAAATCTTGAGTATCAGAAAATATTCCTTTAAGCCCTCTCAATGATTTTGGGAATAGTAGATCTTCAGTTATTATATAGGTACATTCCAAGAAAGAAAGCAAAAGGGCACATGTTTCTCAGAAGCACTTTCATTTTGACAGATTTTATTCTCCAGAGATGATTGTACAGTATCTCCCATCCACACACTCTTCTGAAATGTTTCCTTGACTTTAACCCACCAAAAAGTAGAGCTGAATTTTCCATCCCATTGAATCTAGTAAGCCCTGTGATTGCTTTGACCAACAGAGTATGGCAGAAGTCAGAGCCAGCTTATCTACCAGACAAAGCTAGCACAGTGCCTAGGGCTTGTGATACTGTTAGGGGCCCATGAAAATATTTTCATTTTTTAAATCAGAAAAAAACTAATTTTTTGTTTTAAGAAAATGCTTGAATATATACGTACATTTTCATCTTTATATCAATACTGTCATAAAATATAATTATATATTTCAATTTTATGTGCGTATTTATTTGTTTAATATGTCTTAGGAAAATGTTCGTGTTCACTTAAGTAACAAAAGATCTTAAGAAAAGGTGTATTACTTGAATTATAAAAGATCCCAGAAAATTCATTTCTTTTTCAAAGGGTTAGCTAAAATTTTGAAGTGATTAAGCATTTAAGTATTTTTTTTTCAATTCTACAGCCATTTTGTTAACTCCAAAGACCCATTCAAGCAACTGAGTAGGCATTCCTGCAATACAGAGTTGAATATTCAGAACCAAGGGCACATGGACAATTCATATAATTTTGATAATCTGAAGGCACAGTCACATAATTATAGGTGGAGACAATTCCATGAAAAGTCCATTATAAATCTTTGATACAGAAGGGAATGAACACTGATTGAATACCTATGCACTTATAACTTGGTATAGTTGAATACTCACAATAACCCTACAAAGTTGGGAGGAAACTGAAGACCACAGAGGTTAAATAATTTATCCAGGACCACCCAGCTTGTAAATGGCAGAGCTGGGATTTGAAATCAGGCCTGTGTGACTTCACAGACTGTATTATTTTCTCTATACCGCTTTGCCTTTACTGAAACACCACCAATCTGTTTTCTGCTTGGTCTGGCAACTTTCAAGTTCAACTTGGAGAAAATAATAGACTTCGCTTAAGAACCCACTGTGTTGTTTCAAATATCTGTTCTGCGGGAAGAAAATCGACTGCTTATCATATTCTAATGGGCAATGGCCCTCACAATATTGACAGCATATTTAGGAGAGAAAGATAAAGATTTAGACAAGATAGTAGAAGGTAATTTTATGTTCATTTTTATAGTTAAGTTAGAAAATAAGCCAAGTGTAAATGACATAATTATAGAAGTATTTACCTTAGTTGAGGTTTCCTTAAAAAAAAATGACCAGACAACTTTCAAAATTGCTGTTAGTATTGTGAAAATTGGTCAATATAATGAGCCTGTATTTTAAAATCCTAGAGGAACAGGGCAACATGGACAAAGCTATAAATTTAAAGCATTTGGTTACTTGTTCTTTTAGAATTCTAGAAATAATACATGCCTCTTCCCCACTCCAGGACACATGTGCACACACATGTGCACGCACACACACAACTAGTGATGAAGACCCACATCCGGGAGGTCAGAATAGGAAAGATGTGGACTCCCTTAAGGATTCAGGTAAAATGGAGGGAAAGGTTGGTCAGGACAGAGTGATGAAGAATTAAGTCATTATGGGGAAATGAACTGTCATCTAGCTTCACAGAAAAATAAAACGCTTTTCTTTTCCACATTAAAACTGAAGAACATATGCCTTCTTACTCTACTTGAAAATGATACCAATTCTGTTAAAGAAAAAACTGAGCTGTGAATTTTTCATTATCTTTGAAAGTAGTTGTACATTTTTGTGGCAGATGAATTTTGTTACAGTATCTCCAGTCTCTGGTATAGCAAGTCTCTCACACAATAAATCTTTTATGACTGGAGAAAACTGTCTGTTTTTTGCCTAAATAAACTTTTTCCCATGAGATGTTCTTCAAAAAGTATAGCAACTTTAGAAACCTTCAGTTGTGGAATCTATTTTAAGTTTTTGGCACAATGAGACCAACTCTTGAATTCGCAAAAGGTAACGTAGGCTTTCACACTCCCTGGAAGAGCTAGCTTTCTTTAGGGGAGGAAGCTACTTCCTGTTTTGTCTGTGAGCAGAAGTACTCTTGCCAAAGTCACTTCTCCCCCACACTTTCCAGCTAGTATTCTCAAGGCTGGGGGCAGATTGTCTTAGGTCGTCACCCTTTTGGATCTTCATTGCTGTTGCTGTAGAAGATTTTTTGCTATAGGAGAGCAGTCTTCTACTTCATTCTGAAAAAAGCAGAAGTAAAGGATTTGGGAAAATGTTCCCTCTTTGAGCGGAAGCATTCTGTAGATGAAGTAACAGGCTAAGAGCAATGCAATTTGAGGCTCTCTTTTTGAAATAAAATCAAAGCGAACCAAGACACAAATATCAGAGGAGCTAAAGCAGTGCTGGTAGGAGAAACCAGGTCTTTACAATTTGAACTGGTTATTATTTTCACAAGACTTTATTTCACAGTGTCGTTACCTTGGTGCTATTGACATCTTGTGCGAGATGATTCTTTGCTGTCGCGACTATTCTGTGGATTGTAGAATGTTTAGGAGCATCTCTGGCTTATGCTCGATAGATACCAGTAGCACCCCCCACCCAGTTGTGATAACTAAAATGTCTTCAGGCAATTGGCAAATACCCCCTGAGGACAGCATCTCCCCACAGCTTATTTTAATTTATACGTAAAGTCTGGCATATTAATATTTATTGAATGAATACATTAACAAGTGAAGGTGATTAAATTGTCTATTCCCATTGCCTGGTATACAGGTGATTACTCAGCAAATAATCATTCTCCCTTCCAGGTGTAATATCTTGCAAGTAAATTTGCTTACACAAGGTAAGTTCCAATGCTTGCCGTGGGAGAGTAGTTCATCTAAAATATATGTTTTCGAATGAAAAAAAATAACTAAGTTCCAGTTGAAATCGGCTATTTGATATAAAATTTGTCTCTGCTCCCTGCTAATAACTCATTAAAACAATAAGGGAATTTTTTTTAATATATATATTTTCGGGCCGGACACGGTGTCTCATGCCTGTAATCCCAGCACTTTGGGAGGCCAAGGTGGGCGGATCACCTGAGGTTAGAAGTTCAAGACCAGCCTGGCCAACATGGTGAAATGCCGTCTCTACTAAAAATACAAAATTAGCCGGGCATGGTGGCGGGCGCCTGTAATCCCAGCTGCAAAGGAGGCTGAGGCAGGAAAATCGCTTGAACCAGGGAGGCAGAGGTTGCAGTGAGCCAAGATTGTGCCACTGCACTCAAGTCTGGGCAGAAAGAGCGAAACTCCATCTCAAAAAAAAAAAAGAAAAAGAAACATTTTCAGAAATGGGGAAGGAGATGATAACATTTGGGGAACTAGAAACCAAAAGAACTTTGGCCCATCTGAAAATCTAAATTCTAAGCTGGCCATTGTAAAAGCTGTGAAGCACCATGATTTGCACACACACACATCACATCTCATGAATCCATGGCACTAGATCCACTGGAAGTCAGGAGAAGATAGGCTAATAATAAAAAGATTGGTCAAAAATCTGCTTAATAAGTCTTTAGACTTCAGATCTTCCCTCCAAGCAGTAGGACAACTTTCTGTGATCCTGTAGAAGCCTCAAGATTTATCCTCTAGAAAGGGTAAAACACAAAGATTCGGTACTCGATGAGTACAAGAGGCAACACCAAGTAGTGTTGAAGGCTGTTTATGGAACACGGGGAGATTAAGTGAAAAACTGTCCACACAAATAATGGTGAAATCCTAGCCCTTTCACCCATATAACTCTGAGCTTATATCTTCTCAATGGGAACACAAGAGGCAATGTGGTGTTCTGGATGCTGGAGCCAGTCTGCTGGGTTGTGTGCTAGTAGTTAGCTGTATGACTTTGGACAAGTTACTCAATTTCTCTTCATCTCAGTATGCTCATTTATAACACTGGGATTAAAAGAGTACCTTTCGCATAAATTTTTTGGGATTCAATAAAATATTACCTTGTAAGTACTTGGAACTCTGACATGTAATAAATACCAGGTGTTTATTGTTATTATTATGCCCTGGGATCAGCTTAGCCCAAGAGAAAGGACCTAAAGATGTGTATAGTCATGTTTTTCCAGCATAAAAGTTCAGTCACCTCTCGAAAGACCTACAATTAACAAACTTCATGGGCTACTCCTGGTTTTCAGTTAACTTTCAATTCCCATCTATAAATATCAGTAATTAGCCAAGAAACACTAAACATTGAGAAAGTTCTTTAATATTGAGGTCAGGCATCAAAGCAAACAAAACAATAATATTCAATTTGAAAGAAATGCAGATATTGCATTTATAAAACTTGGAAAATTATTAATATTCTTAGAGAGATAAAATACATTCATGAAGCCAGAACAGGTTGCTATACTGCTATTAAAGAGTATTAACAAGAGCTGTAGGGAATAGAAATATGATTTTAAAATATAAAAAACTCAATAGAAAGTATAAAAAGTAAGTTTTGGGTCTCCCAGAAAATACTGGTTAAAAGCAAAGAAGAGAAAGAGAATTAGATACTCAGACCAGAATTACTCACATCTACGTAAACTGTGGTGTCATGTAACGCTTTAACATGCCTAGCCTATGGTAACTGATAGCAATTCTTAGTACAAGGTAGAACTAAGATATTTTAGTGATAAAAGATCTTTACAAATTACCTTCCATGAATGTTTTTCAGGAAGCTATTGAGCTAAAGTAGGAAAGTATCCAAGAAAGAAAAAAAAAAAACAGCTTCCAAATACCAGAGAGATGAAAGTGAGTTCCAAGTTGCTGATGAAAGAAGGTCTAAGTTAACGGTTTTGTGTCACAACTAGAGAGCAATCAACTCATACTGCTCAAAGCATTTGAAGACTAGTATGGTTCAAAGAAGGTTCATTGCATCACAGATTGACTTGGTGGAATATTTCAGAAACACCTGGCATCTTTAAAATTGAAGTGTTCATAGAGCAATCTCACGAAAGTTGATCATTCTCCCATAAAATAAATTAACCATTTTCTCCATTCATATATTTGAAAGACAATGAAATTATCACAGTAGAATTCATCTGCTAGAAATCTATACTGCTTCTTTCAAAAGTAATGAAAAATTCATGCTTGCTGTCTACTTTTTAAACTATTCTCTGATTTTTTTTCCCTAGAATGGTGGCTTAGCATTTTATTTTGATCCCTAAGGTTTCTCGTCATCAGTTCACAGTAGTTATTTGTGATTCCTGGGCAGTGTGTTATACCTACGCAGTCACATCTTTGTGAAAAGAGCACTCTATTCTCTTTTCATTAATAAATCCTTTTTTCTTCCTGCCCTTGGGAAGCAAGCCCTGAGAGAGAGTTAAGAAAATGTTCCCAGGCCTAAAATTGACTGCCTTGGGATTAAGAGCACAACCTATGAGACAGAGATGGTTAATCTATTAAAGAACATGCAGCTTACAGCACAATAGGTGTCACATAAAAAGTAGAGAGATGGGAATTTCTTTTTTAGTTGTAAATAGACAACTTATAATTGTACAGGGTAAAAAATAATGTCAACATTTATGAATGGAATGTGGAGTAATTAAATCATACTAGTTAACATAACCATCACCTCAAGTACTTAACTTTTTTGTGGTGAGAACATTTGAAATTTACTCTCTCTTCAATTTTGAAATATGTAATACTTTATTCTTAACTATATTCACCACACTGTGCAGTATAACCCAGAACAAGAAAACACATATTTCTCTTGTCTAATCTCTTTTGTACCATTGGGCCATCACTTCCCTGTTCTCTCCATCCCCAACCTCTGTTACCACCACTCTATTCTTTGCTTCTAGAACTTCAATGGTTTTAGATTTTACATATAAGTTAGAATATGCAGTACTTGACAAACTACACCTGACTTGTTTTACTTAGTGTAATGTTCTCCAATTCCAGAGGGTTAGAAATTTCTAAGAACACAGCCTTGTATCTCTCTCCACACAGAGCTGTATCTTTTTTAGTATCTCTTCACTTGCCTTCAATAATTCAAGCATGTTTAAATCTGCTATATTGCCACCAGTAATCTTTGAAATTCTTCCGAAGTCCTCTTGGCTGTAACAGACATGATTGGAAATGTAGTACCAACAAAAGGAAATAGACTATGAGTTGAAACACTTGTCTTTTAGTTCCACTTCTGCCGAATTGTTCTAGGACCCTGGACGAAGCATTTAAACTTCTTGTACTGCTTTATTTGACAAGTAGATGGTAAAGACAACCCAATTTGACTACTTTTATGGTTGAAAAATGAGGTTTAAAATAGCATGTGTATGTATAAGTGTATGCATAAGTGTTTAATATAATGGGTTATACATATGAGATATTATACTCCTCTAAATCCATGTTTTCACCCTCTGAAAAGGCTGGTTCTGAATAATTATCATGTTGATGGTACAAGGAATTGAGTTTAAATCTTAGTTCTTTTGATTTGTTTTTGCTAGTATTTAAAAGGTAGTGGTGTGACTTCAGATTATACAGAAATGAAGAAAATAAGAGCAAGGGCCATAACCTTAAGGGTCAACTCAGAATTTATTAGATATTTTGAGGTTGTAATCATTTCATTTTTAAATTTAACTGAGAAGAAGGTAAATAATAGTCTTGGCAAAGCTAAAATCTGATGTCTGAATCTCTCATTTTCTAACTTTGAGGCAACTGAATGGACTAACTTTGAGGTAAAAAATGTTGATCTCATTGTCAAGGGTCTGTCTTGGCAAGCTAAGTTATTGTAGGTTGAGAAGAAAGGAGACATTGCCTCATTTTATGGAGATTATTGCCTAATTGTGAAGCTGAGGGAAAAACAGTGATGAAGAACAAGGAATTAGCTCAAAGGCCATACAGTCCAGTTGAAGTAGACGTGGATTATGATATGCTGCAGTTTTCAAAAGTATGTTATCTTGTCCCTCGAGCACCAAGCATCTGTAGCTCCTTACACTGTCACACTGTGATGAGAAGTTTCCATCTCTGCTTCTACCGCTTCTTGTTTTTTTCTATGAATAAGTAAACCCTCCTCATGGTTCATGCTCTTGCTCTCAACCACTAAACTCTCCACTCCTTTCTCAGACTCTGGCTTTGCTTTCTTATGGCTTCAACTTTCTTATGCCTGGTAACTTCTTTTTATTTTTTCCTTCTTCCTCTCTCCCTCCCTCCCTTCCTCCTTTCCCTCCTCCCTTTCTCCCTCCCTCCTTTCTTTCCTTCCTTCCTTCCTCCCTTCCGTTGCTTCCCTTTCCTTCCCATTATTTCTGTTCCTTCCCTCCTTCTATGGACATCATTTAGTGGGTACTTCAGCTTCCATGTCACCATTCTGTGACCATTTCTTCGTAAGTCATGTCAAGTTCTTTACAAGATTGGATTGATGGGTCTGTTAATATCTAACATAGAGAAACTTCCCATGGAAACAATTCCAATGTGAGATTTCCCATAGGCCTTTGGCAAACTTAATGATTACTGCCATTGGCTAAGGTGTCCATATTTTGTCTAATTAAAACACGAACAGCTTGGTAAAATTGTGTTTTTTTTAATTTTTCAGAGTATAATTGTGGCATGCAAATTATTAAAAGAATTCTTTCTTACATAATATATAAATGCAGAGCCCGTACATGTTTTTATTATTGATTATAGTTAACTAGTAAACTCCAGCACGAAGCATGTTCCAGTTATAAAATAAAAACATGAATACTTTTTTGCATTTTTCATAAAAATACTGTTTCATTAAATAGTAAAAATACTATGTTATCAGCACTCATATTGCACATTTAACTTTAAAATATGTTTTGAAATTTTTGTCATTTACCTTCCACAGTAATTTTGGTATTATTATTCTCATTTATCAGATGAAGCATTTGAAGCCCAAGAACATTCTATTATTTTCTTTTGAAACTTTCCAACTTTAGGATGTAGGTTTATCTTCTAACTTCTTACTTTTCCAATCAGACCAAAGTGCCTTTTATATTCAATGTTATCTATATGTCAAATGAAATCAGGTTTTAAGATAAACCAGTTTTTCTATATGAATTATAAAGAAGAATAAGTAATAGAATCAAAGTGACTGAAGATGAAGTAAACAAATTTTTATCTCCAAAATCTTTTTTTAAAACTTATCTAATGAGAAATATTGCTTATTTTCTGTCAGGTGAACTTTCTGATGTGGTTCAAAGTAGGTCAGTATACACCAAAAATCATATGTAAGATTTTATTGCAGGCAGAGATGATTAATTCTTTGGGGTCTATTTTAATCATTCCCTTTTTGAAGTGCAGTGACAGTCAATATATTACTCCAAAGTCTCTGCTTTACATAAAGTTGTAGTGTGAAGCTAAATTTTAAAAATGGCAAAATATCACAAGACATGAATGAAAAGGGGCTATTTCTTTCACAGGCAGAATTACAGTTTCAAATGATTATATTAATTCAACCACAGAATACATGGGATTAATTTTTTGATTTCATATTGAGACCTTGCCACAAGCAAAATAATAAATTTTTTACTCTGCAGAAGAAGCTCATTAGCTAAACTTTCACCATAGGGCTTGTGTAATTACCCTTCAGATTACTCCTCAGATGCACTAAATAGGAAAGCGAGAGTTTTCTTCTAATTGGCTGCTGTCAGAGCTGCCACAAGAAATGATAGATGTGGTACAGTTATCAAAATTTTAGCAAAGATGGAAGTTTTTGTTTGCTTTTGATTCATTTCCAAGGACCTACGCACCTTGAATTTGGAATTGATCTTTAGTCATGTGTGAGAAGAGTATTCCATTCACATGCCGACCATAATCAGTACCCATTGCACATCCTGGTGTCTCTGCTGAAATGATTGAATCCTGTAGTAACTGCAATTGCTGATACTATCTGCTGGAAGAGTGTAGTGTAGACAGTAATTGGTTATTGTGAGTAAGAAGATCTGTTCCAGATCATTTCACACCACATGTCCTCAGAGGACCTTCTCTTCTACTTCTTTTAATCTTCTGCTGGTGATTTAACTTTTTAGACCAATTTATGATTTGACTTTTCCTTTCTCCAGCTCTGATTCCTTCATGAAATGAATTGAAAGTACTCTGTGTAACTGAAGGCAAACTTTTAATCAATTGGATTTCAAGGGTGCGGGCTGAGTCTATGCCGTGCAATGACTGGACAGTAAATCACCTACCAGAAGCTGCTAAACTTCACGTGGTGCTCTCCACCAAAATGGCTAGAGAGATCCACCATTGGCAGCACACTCCCTTCAACTTGCTGTTTCTATACTGGAAATTGTTTTATTTGATCCAACCATATCACCGCCTAGGTAGGGTAATGTCTTGCCCAAACAGTGAAGTCTCTTAAGTCCATCTTTGAAATAAAAATTGGCGACATTCTTTTACTGTCATTGTCCTTCTCTCAATTCCCCATCAGGATACCTAACAATCTCCTGTCTGCCTCCTGCTTTCAAGAAGGAGTTATTAGTGATCACTTAAGCAATTGTTAGAATGAATTTCTCTTAACTTTCTCAGGGGCATTTTAATTTGAAGTATTATTTTAACTGTGTCCCAAAAGATTAGCCTCTGTAAAGGGAATCAAGGAATCTTGAGCATTAGTGAGCTGGGAGGAAGGGATTGGGAGGAAGGGGAAGAAAGGTGAGGGGCCGGGTGTAGTGGCTCACACCTGTAATCCCAGCACTTTGGGAGGCCAAGGCGGGCAGATCACTTGAGGTCAGGAGTTAAAGACGAGCTGACCAACATAGTGATACCCTGCCCCTACTAAAAATACAAAAATTAGCTGTGTGTGGTGGTGCACGTCTGTAGTCCCAGCTACTTGGGAGGCTGAGGCAGGAGAATTTCTCGAGCCCGAAGTGGGAGGTTGCAGTGAGCCCAGATTGCACCACTGTACTCCAGCCTGAGGGACAGAGCAAGACTGAAATGAAGAAAAAGAAAAGGAAAAAAAGAGAAAGAAAGGAAAGAAAAGAAAAGAAGGAAGGAAGGAAAGGAAGGAAGGAAGGAGAAGGGGAGGGGAGGGAAGGGAAGGGAAGGAAGGGAAGGAAGGAAGGAAGGAAGGAAAGAAGGAAGGAAGAGGGGAGGGAGGGGAGTGAGGGAGGCAAAAGAGAGAGGAGGGAGGAGAGAACAAGAGAGAGAATATAAGTGACAGCACAACCTTCAGGTCTTACAGACTTCATAGCTGTTTTATATGACTGCTTATTCCACTATAGGCCTTATTATTCCACTATGAGTCCACTGGGACTCATACCACATACTCTTACCATAGCTGGTTGGGGTTAGAGGCCCTGCTCAGTGTGAAGCCATATTATAAGACAAAGAAAAATGGTCCATGTGGACATGATACCTAAAACTCTCATTTTATCAGGACTTCATTCTGAGGTAAGTAGATCTACCAAGGAATAATAAACAGATCTAGTCATTATGAAGTTCACAAAGTTAACAAGGGGTTATCTGATTTTCTCCTAAAAAAATCATGATTTGCCAGAAGAAATGCATTTGAAGATTCTACTCCTCCAGACACTTATCTCCCCCTCATCTTTTTCTATGCCTCTACTTCTGTCTATCTCTCTGCCACTCCATTCCCCTTGTTGTCTTTACTGAGCATAATATTTTTATAAGCCTCTTTTGACTTTAGATATTTGTGTGGATTGATGATAATGTGAGAAGTAGTGCAGTAAATATCCAGATTAATCAGAAAGTAGTCACCTAGGGCAGCATTTTTCATTTTAAGCAACAACTAGAACACAGGTGGCCTTTTTAAATGCCCATAGTTGATTAATGAAATGCAAGATTTATTGTGAAATGCATGGAGGGCCCACCAGAGGATCTCCCCTCAACTTCCCAGGGAGAGCAAGAAAGTGCTTTTTGTATTGCACTAAAGTGATTAATTTTTAAGTAGGGACTAACTCTCCTGTCTCTCTTTATTTATGCAGCCTAGGAGAGTCTATTCTCCTGATGTAATAATGATATTACCTTACATTTACATAGCGCTTTATGCTTTTTGAAGTACTTGAAGATGTACCATTTCACCTTATCCTGACAGCCACCCTCAAAGACTAGTGAGGAGGCTTCATTCTCTTTCCTTCATGAATGAGACAACAGAGGGAAAAGAAATTGACTATTACCTTAGTTTGTCTTTGTTAGAACTAGGATTAGAACCTGTTATATCATTCCTATCCGTGTGTTTATCTACTATTTGATTAGATGGAGTTATCTAAACTGAAGAAACAATATTGCCATTCTCTATAAAATGTGGACATCATTTAAATAAAAACAATTGGTCTATATTTTATGTAATTTATAATTACATCCTTTGTAAGTTATTCAAAGAGGAACAATAACGATCACTATTGAGAAGTAAAAACTTTGTTTTTACATAGAAATTTTGCTATGTAAATAAGATCAGAAACATATAATTTCTAACAAATTTAGTGGACTTAAATTATTTGGAGGATGGAACCCCCATGACACAGGACAATCCATAAACTATAAAACCCTTGAAGTCAACCTAGGAAATACCATTCTGGACATAGGCTGCAACAAAGGTTTCATGAAAGAGTTGCCGAAAGCAATTGCAACAAAAACAAACATTGACAAATGGGATCTAATTAAACCAAAAAGCTTCTGCACAGCAAAAGAAACTATCATCAGAGCGAACAGGCAACCTACAGAGTGGGAGAAAATTTTTGCAATCTGCTGCATTCTTATTACCAAAGCAAGTGCCCACACCCAGTCAGATTCAAAGAGTGAGAAATAGACTCCATGTCTTTTTGGGAAGATAGATCACCAAAGTCACAGTGCAAAGGGAGGGAAGAAAGACTGTGGCCAATTTTGCAATTTATCTCATTACTTATGTGGTTATTTTTGGTTTTCAGCAGATTATTATTTGATTTGGTGAAGTAATTGGTACTGCTACTTGAGATTCCTTCAAGCAGTTAGCTGGTATGCTATGCTGAAAATACATGTGTCTATATACAAATTTTAATTAAATGGAAGACTGTTGAAACTTCTGGTAGCCAAAACAATTGAATTTTACATTAGAATGATTTTAGAATTTTAGACTGCAATTTGGAATAAAATGGTTAATTTTAAATAACAAAAGCTGAAGCAACATACTGACTCAATGAATCTCACTAAGTAGAGATATTTATCAAAATAATTCATAATTCCAGGCCAAATGGATCCTGAAAATATTTCTCAGGAGACCACTTTGTATACATTTATTAGAAATGGATATTCTAGTAGATCTGTCAGCTCATCTCATGTATTCCCTTGAAGCATCCTCTTAACTGGAATTTTGGAAGTTTTTGCATGAAGACAGATAGAGATAGTGGGGGGGAGAGAGAGAGAGAGAGAGAATGCATTCGTATTTATCTTTGTGTATGTTGAACTAAGCAGGGCACAAGGCAGAAATCTTTAACATTTTATTTTTCTTCTTAAAATTTATATTTTTCAAACTTTCACTTCTGTTTCCTGTACAAAGTATGAAAAATTTCAAAATACAAAAATCTGAAGATTGGCAGTATTAAAATAGAACCATTTAAAATAAAAAAAGAAGTCTTCAAAATATGGAAGCATCACATTTGAAATATGGATTGTTTTTTCATGATTTAGAAACTTGGTATTTTTAGCTGGGCATAGTGGCACATGCCTGTAGTCCCAACTACTTCTGAGGCTGATACAGGAGGATCACTTGGGCCCAGGAGTACAAAGCTACAGTAAGCCATGATTGTGCCACTGCATTCCAGCCTGGGCAACAAAGCAAAACCCCAAACCCGGACTCTGAAACAAAACATAACAAAACAAAAACAACAAAAACAAAAGCCCTTGATATTTTAAAAAATTATATTTTAATTCTTTTATGTTTCCAAAACAGTAAATAGAAAAGAAGCAGTAGCTGCTTTGAATCCAAATACATGAATTTTAAAGGATTGTCATAAAATTATCTGACCCAAAGTTATAGAAACAGTTATGCAAAGTTTCTATATGTGAACATTAAACAGTAGTTTGACTTAATGGAAACTTTTAATATCGACTTTTGTGACAAAATACAGTTTATTATGTGGAGCCAAAGATAGCTCATCTACCTGATTATCCTGTTTCATGGGGATTCCTTCAAATAACTTAAGTCCACTACGTCCTTAAATTTTCACTGATACTAGCCTACTATAAGTCATTACTGCCTCAAAGAACCAATTTTTCATACTTTATTATTTCATTATTTTTTATTTTTGATACATAGTATTTGTAGATGTTAATGGGGTACATGTGAAATTTGTTATATGCATAGAATGTGTAATGGTCAGTTCAGGTTATTTAAGTATTCATAAACCAGGTATTTATCATTTCTATCTGTTGAGTATATTTGAAGTCCTCGCTGCTGGCCATTTTGAAAAATACAATACATTGTTGTTAACTATAGCCACCCAACTCTGCTATCAAACTTTAGAATTTACTTCTTCTGATTCAATGTTTGTCCAGTTAAGCAAACTCTCTTCATTACTCCCTCCTACCACCTGTACACCCTTCCCAGTCTCTCGTATTAGTCATTCCACCTCTGTCTCCATGTGAGCAACTTTTTAGTTCACACATATGAGTAAGAGCATGTGATATTTGTCTTTCTGTGCTTTGCTTATTTTAGTTAACATAATGACTCCAGTTCCATCCATTTTGCTACAAAAAAACATGATCTCTTTCTTGTTTTTGAATGAATAGTATTCCATTGTTTATATATACCACATTTTCTCTCTCTGTTAAAATTTTATTTCTGTAGCTTTCAGGGTATAAGTGGTTTTTGGTTACGTGGATGAACTGTATAGAGGTGAAGTCTGGAATTTTAGTGTGCCAGTCGCCTGAGTAGTGTACAATGTGCCCAATAGGTAGTTTTTCATCCCTCACTCCCCTCCTACCCTCCCCCATTCTGAGACTCCAGTGTCCATTATACCACTCTGTATGCCTTTGCATACTCTCACAGCTTGGCTCCCGCTTGTAAGCGAGATCATGTCGTATTTGGTTTTTTGATTATTGAGTTATTTCAGTTAGAATAATTGCCTCCAATTTCATCCAAGTGGATGCAAAATACATTATTTCATTCTTTTTTATGGCTGAGTAGTAGTCCATGCTATATATACACCAAATTTCTTTATCCACTCATCGACTGATAGGCACTTAGCTTGATTCCATATCTTTGCAATTGTGAATTGTGCTGATATAAACGTGTGTGCAGGTGTCTTTTTGATGTAGTGACATCTTTTCCTTTGGGTAGATACCCAGCAGTGGTAGATCTACTTTCATTTCTGAGGGAAATCTCCACACTGTTTTCCACAGAGGTTATACTAATTTACATGCCCACCAGCAATGTAAAAGCATTCCCTTTCACCACATCCATGCCAATATCTATTGTTTTTTGACTTTTTAATAATGGCCATTATGTCTGGGGGAAGGTGGTATCTCATTGTGGTTTCAATTTGCATTTCCCTGATGATTACTGATGATTTGTTGGCCATTTGAATATCTTCTTTTGAGATATGTCTATTCATATCATTTGCCCACTTTTTAATGGCATTATTTGTTTTTTCCTTGCTGATTTGAGTTCCTTGTAGAATTTAGATATCAGTCTTTTGTTAGATGCATAATTTGCAAATATTTTCTCCCAATCTGTAGGTTTTCTATTTACTTTGATGTTTTTTTATTTTGCTGTACAGAAGCTTTTTAGTTTAATTAGGTCCTATTTATTTATTTTTGTTATTGTTGCATTTGCTTTTGGGGTCTTGGTCATAAATCCTTTGCTTAGGCCATGTCCAGAAAAGTTCTTCCTAGGTTTTCTTCTAGAATTTTTGTGGTTTCAGGTCTTAGATTTAAGTCTTTAATCCATCCTGAGTTAATTTTTGTATTGGTGAGAAATAGGGATCCAATTTCATTCTTCTACATGTAGCTATCAAATTTTCCTGGCACTATTTACTGAATATGGTGTCCTTTACCTAACTTACGCTTTGTATGATTTGTTGAAGACTATTTGTTTCCATCCTCTTTACTTTCTTTCATTAGTATTTTATGCTTTTTCTTGTAGAATTTTTTTACCACCTTGGTTAAATTTATTCCTAGGTGAGTTTTTTTGTGGCTATTGTAAATGAGGTTGCCTTTATAATTTTTCGACTATTTTATTATTGTTGCATACAAATGCTACTGACTTTCACATGTTAATTTTGTGTCCTGTGACTTTATGGAATTATTTATTAGTTCTAAGAGCTTTCTTTATTCAACTGTTGATTGACACTGAGGTTAATGCCATATCTTGGCTATTGTCAACAGTGCTACAATAAACATAGGAGTGTGTCCCTTGATATATTGGTTTCTTTTCCTATAGGTAAATAGACAGTAGTGGGATCACTGGAACATATGGCACTTCTACTTTTCGTTTTGGAGTTATCTCCATACTGTTTTTCATAATGGCTATATTAACTTACATTCCCACCAATAGTGTACAAGAGTTCCCTTTTCTCCACATCCTCATCAACATCTGTTGTAGTTTTGTCTTTTTAAAAAATTGTCATTCTAACAGGTAAGATGATATCTTATTTCAGGTTACATTTCCCTGATGATTAGTAATGTTGAGCATTTTTTCATACACCTATTGGTCATTTGTATGTCTTCTTTTGAGAAATGTGGATTTATTTCTGTTTTACTGTTAGGTTGTGTGAGTTTCTTATATATTCTCGCTATTAGTTTCCAGTGTGATGAGTTTTCAGATATTTTCTCACACTCAAGAGGTTGTCTCTTCACTCTCTTGCTTGTTTATTTTGCTGTGCACAAGATATTTTTAGTTTAATATAGTCTCATTTGTCTATTTTATTGTTGTTGTCTGTGCTTTTGAGGTCTTAGCTATAAAATCTTTGCATAGACCAATGTCCAAGAGTTTTCACTAGGTTTCCTTCTAGTAGATGTGTACTTTCAAGTCTTACATTTAAGTCTTTAATTTATCTTCAGTAGATTTTTATACATGATGAGAGATAGAAATCCAGTTTTATTCTTCTGCATGTTGTTATCCAGTTTTCCCAGCACCATTTATTGAAGACCATATCCTTTCCCCAACATATGTTCCTGACAGCTTTGTTAAAGATTAGTTGGCTGTAAATATGTGGATTTACTTCTGGATTTTCTATTCTATTTCATTAGTCTATGTGCCTGCTTTTGTACTAATACCGTACTGTTTTGGTTACTGTAGCCATATAATATATTTTGAAATGTGATGCTCTCAACTTTGTCCTTTCTGCTCAGGATTGCTTTGGCTATTTAGACACTTTTTTGATTCCATCAGACTTTTAGAATTCTTTTTTTCTATTTCTGTGAAAAAAAAATCATATTAGTATTTTTATAGGGAGTGCATTGAATCTGTAGATTCTTTGGGTAGTGTGGCTATTTTAGTGATATTAATTCTTCTGATCCATGAGCATAAGATTGTTTTCCATTTGTTTCTGTCCTCTTTACTTTCTTTCATTAGTATTTTGTGCTTTTTCTTGTAGAAATTTTTTACCATCTTGGTTAAATTTATTCCTAGGTGGGTTTTTTTGTAGCTATTATAAATGAGATTGCCTTTATAATTTTTTTGACCATTTTATTATTGGTGTATACAAATGATACTGACTTTCACATGTTAATTTTGTGTCTTGTGACTTTATGGGATCTGTTTTCTGGATCTAAGAGGTTTTGGTCGAGTGTTCTGGTTTGTCTAAACATAAGATCATGCCATCTGCAAAGAGGGAAACTTTGTCTTCTTCTTTCTCATTTTGGATGCTTTTTCATTTTAGTCTCTGACCTGATTGTTCTGGCTAGGACTTCCAATAGTTTATTGAATAGGTGTGGTGAAAGTGAGCATCCTTATCCTGTTCAAGTTATTAAAGGAAATGCTTTCAAGTTTTCCTTGTTCATTCTGATGTTAGCTATGGTTTGGTCACATACAACTTTTATTTTTTTGAGGCATGTTTCTTCTATGCCTAGTATGTTGAGAGGTTTTATCATAAATAGATGTTGAATTTTATTAAATGCTTTATCTGCATCATTTAGATCATCGTACGGTTTTTGCCCTTCGTTCTGTTGATGTGTTATATCACATTTATCGATTTGTGTAGGTTGAACCGTCCTTGCATCACTGGTATAAATCTGAGTTCATTATGGTATATTATCTTTTTGATATGCTGTTGATATCCAATTACTACTATTTTCTGGGAAATATTTGTGTCTACATTCATCAAGGGTATTGGCCTACAGTTTTCTTCGTCATTTCCTTGTCTGGGTTTTGGTATCAGAGTTACAGTGGCCTCATAGAACAAGTTAGAAAATATTCTCTCCTCTTCAATTTTTAAAAAATAATTGGAGGAATATTGAAACTAATCCCCCCTTTTTTTTCTTTTAGCAGCAGTGAATCCATCCAATTTTGAGTTTTTCTTTCTTGGAGGACTTTATTACTGATTCAATCTTATTTCTTGTTATTAGTCTGTTCAGGTTTTTTTGTTTATTCCTGATTCATTCTTTGTAGGTTGTATGTTTCCAGGACTTTGTTTTGTGTTATTCTTTATTCCTTTCTTGTTTTCTTATTGTTTGTCATTGTGATTTGGTGGTATACTATAATGGTATCATCTGAGTCCTTTCCTTGCCTGATTTGTGTTTTTGCGCTATCTGTGAGTTTTATAGTGTTGTGGGGTTTTGTGATGCTAGATGTGGTTCTTTTGCTTCCAGATTTAGGATTCCCTTTGGCATTTATTCTAGAGCTGGTCTGGTGGGTTTCAATTTCCTAAGCTTTTGCTTGTCTAGTAAATACTTTATTTTTTCTTCATTTATAAAGAGTACTTTTGCTGGATATAGTATCTGGACACAATATCTTTGGCTGGCAAGTTTTTTCTTTCAGCACTTTTAATATATCATTTCATCCTTTCCTTCCCTGTAAGGTTTCTGCTGAGAAATTTGCTAATAGTCTGATGGAAGTTCCCTTATAGGTAACTAGATGCTTTTCTCTTGCTGCTTTTAGAATTCCCTCTTTGTCTTTGACTTTAGATAATTTGTCTATAATGTACTATGAAGCAGACTTTTGTGCATTGTATCTGTTTGGCGATCTCTTCGCTTTCTGTAAATAGATGTTTAAATTTCTGGCTAGACTTCACATTTTCATCTATTATTTCATTAAGCAAGTTTTGTAATCCTTTTGTTTTTACTTCTCTTTATTGAACACCAATAATTCATATGTTTGGTCACTTTATGTTTTCCCACATGTCACATAGAATTTGCCTATTTCTTTTTATTCCTTTTTTTCTTCATTTTAGTTTGACTGGGTTATTTCAAAAGACCTGTCTTTGACTTCTGAGATTCTCTTCTGCTTGATCTAGTCTACTGTTGAAGCTTTCACTTGTATTTTGTTTTTTATTCAATATATTTTTTACTTCTAGATTTTCTGTTTGGTTATTCTTTTGATATCTATCTTTTTTTGTATATTTCTCATTCCTGGCATGATATTTTTAAAATCTCTGTATTATTTTTTCATAATTCTCTTGTATATTACTGAGCATCTTTGATATCAATATTTTGAATTTCTTTTTGTTTAGAATCTGTTGCTGAAGAATTATTTTGTCCCTTTGGACAAGTCTTTTGTTTGTTTGTTTTTTGCTTTTTCGTGTTTCTTGTGTCCTTATGTTGATATATACACATCTAGTGTAACAGTCATTTCTTTCAATATTTTGAACTCGCTTTCATAAGAGAGAACTTTTTCTGAAGGTGTATCTGAGGTGTTTGTTGTGTAGGACACTTTGGCTTTTGATTTTGGGTGAGTGCAGTAGTGGAGTTTCTATATAATTTCTTATACTGTAAACAGTGTCAATGGCATCTGTGATTTCTTTGGTAGTTTAGGGTTTTGTTATTAATGAAGACTGTGGTGAAGTTTTGTTGGGGTCTAGGACCCAGTATGCCAGTCTTAGGGCCCCAGTGGTGTCAGTGGTGAGCTTAGGATACCTGTCCTTGGGCTCCAGGTTAGCATACACTGGCACCAATGTTAGCAGGTCCAGGCAGGCCAATTATTGGGCCTCCAGGTAGCTTGCTCAGGTGCCAGCAATGACAGCAGTGGGCCTGGTGGATGTGTGGGTTCTCAAGTCCCTGGGCAGCAGGCGTGGCATCAGTGATGGCAATAGCAGTGATGGAACAATGCTTTGGAATACAAGTAGTTTGCACTGGTGTTGGTGGTGGCTGTGATGTGGATGAGTCAGTCCCGAGACCCACAGGTGGCACTTACAGTGGGTTCCAGCTGTGGGAGTAGTGACAGGTTGACTGTGTCTGACCTCTGACCTCAGAAGGAGTGTTCAGGTGCCACCATGGTGGACTGGGCTGGGCAATCCTCAGACCCTTGGATACTGTGCTTTGGTACTAAGGGGTGTGGAGCCAAGCTGGGTGGTCCCCTTAGGCCTGCAAGGGGTGCATGCTAAGGCTGGCTATGATAGGCAAGGATGAGTGGTTTCCAGGCCACTGACATAATGCTCAGGTGAGAGCAGCAGCACCAGTGTGGTCCTGCTACTGGAAAAAGTGGGGTGGCTTTCCCTGGGAAAAGCCATAGGCAGACAGCTGAGAGGGTGTGGCCTTTGCTTGCACCTTAGCCCACAGCAGTCAACAGTGGCAGCCTTGTGGGCAGTGAAATTTGTTCTTAGGATGTGACTGCCCCTCTGCTGCATAGTGGGGGTTGTTGCCTCTATCTTTCACCTCAGCAGCAGCAGCAGAACAGGTCACAGTTTTGTGTGACCTGGGCTCTCAAAATGACACCATGTTATGAAACTCCTTCTCTACTAAAAATGCAAAAAAATTAGCCAGGTGTGGTGGCATGCACCTGTAATCCCAGCCACTCGGGAGGCTGAGGCAGGGGAATTGCTTGGATCAGGGAGGTGGAGGTTGCAGTGAGCCGTGAGCCGAGATTGTGCCACCACTGCTTACGTCTTGGGGATTTAGGGGACTCAGCATGAGCTTTCTCTCTAGAACAATGCCTTTGTGTTGTTTCCAAGGAACTCCACATGTTAGTCTTCAGGCCCACCAGGGTCTAGGGCTCTTCCATGGATAGCATTATAGGAATCTGTGACGGGAATGTGGATCACTGGAGAGGTCTCTCACTTTTCCTTTCCTTGCAATTGGGAGACTTTCCACACCCCCCACCAATCCCTGAGGAACAGGCTGCCTCACTTTCCTCTCCTTCCTTGCTTTATGTGCTTCCTGTCACTTCTCTGTTGAATTCCAGTGTTTGATCTTAAATAATCTATTCAAGTTGTGATTATTTATTTACTATTTTGGTTCCTCTCCATGGCAAAGGGTAGCACCAGATGCATCTAGTCAGCTATTTTGAAGCTCCTCCCTCCTCCATACTTTAAAAATATAAATACTTTTCAGTGTATGCTATTGATGAACTCAAAAATATTGCTCAGAAACCTTTAATAACTCCCTGTAACTTGAACACCCACACTCTCTCTCTCTCTCTCTCTCTCTTTCACACACACACACACACAGAAAAGCAAACAAACCAAAATCCCTCTTGACATGGCAGGCTTTTAATATTTTTGCTCCAACTGTTTTTCTGGTTTTAGCCTCTGCATCCCTTTTATGTACACCTACTTTGAATGGAATGTTTGTGAATTTCAAAATTCATATGTTGAAGCCTAAATCCCCAGTGTGATGGTCTTCGGAGTTGGGACTTTCAGGAGGTAATTATGTCATGATTGTGTAGTCCACATAGTGGGATTAGTCCCTTATAAGAAGAAACAGGAGAGCAGTTGCTTCTTCTCTTTTTGTTTTCCACCAGGTGAGGACTCAAGAAGACTATATATATGTGTGTGTGTGTGTGTGTGTGTGTGTGTGTGTGTGTTTGTGTGTGTACACATATATATATATACACACAAACACACACACACACACACACACACACATATATGCTATCTGCAAATCAGGAAGAGAGCCCTCATCAGACTCCAGATCTACTGACACCTTAACTTTGGATTTCCAAGTTACCAGAACGGTTAGAAATAAATTTCTATCATTTAATCACCTAGTCTGTGGCATTCTGTCATAGCAGCCAGAACTAACTAAAATGATACCCAATGCTACAGTTCAGGAAATTTGACTCTGATGTTACTTAAACATAACATGAGCTCTCTGATTATTGGCCATTGCTCATGTCCTTGAATTTTTTTCTTAAAGTCTAGCTTAAATATGATGTTCTCCATGACTTCCTTTCTAGTCAACACAGAGGGCCTCTCTTCTCACACCCTGATTCCAGGGAGAAAACATTTACGGCATATATTGCATACTACCCCAGCTTGGTAATATGTACAATCTCTCCTATGAGACTGTAGATTATTTGAGGAGTGTTAATACAACTTTTTAACCTTTCTGCTCCTAACAATATAGCAACTTGCACAACATAGTAACTTGTACATGGTAGGTCTTCAATAAATTATTTATTAGTTGAGGTGATTTTGCTATAGAGATGGCATTCATGTATTTGCGGGGCTAATTACAAAATGACTGGGGGGAGGGATTATTATTGTTGCCTTTTCCGTATAAAACTAAACCGTTAATGTCTGTAATAAACTCATTCAGAAATTATGAGTCACTTGTTTGTAATTAGCAAGGAAACAGGCTAGAGTCACCTTATACATTACTGGATAAATCCTGGAGGGGCTATCAACTTGAAGCAAGGTTTTTAATGTCAGTAAAAATAGATGCCTGTTTTTATCAGATAAGTCATTTCCCTCTAGTTATCTGAATCTTCATCTTTGCCTTCTTTTATTCATGCATTTTTGGGTCCTGAGCTTGGGAATATTAATATTAACTCTAACTGCCTTATTCCAATTTTTGTTTCTGAACACTAATATATTTTCCCTCTGAACTTCTCTATGTACATTGCCGTCTCTAATTTGGTCAGAAATAAGACCAGAGTGAACCATAGCGATCATAGGGCGACCAAGACAGGCTTAACATTTTCTTCAGCTTGAATAAACTTAAATGTCTTTGTTCCTAATATAGACCCCGTCTCTTTTCTTAGAGTATTTACTATAGAAAACTTGCAAGGGATTGTAAATCTTTTCTCTGTTCCTTTGAGATATAAATTCTCTCAAACCAAGAGTGTCTTTCTCAAGGACCTGAGACCTATCCCTTTGAAATGTAATCATAAAGAAAGATAGGGCCCCTGTATCCCAGTGTATGTGGGAGGATAGCCTGCTAACCCCTGTAAGTGACAATCAGTAAATACCTTAACCAATAATTAGCCAGTAAGCATCTATAAAGCTTGGCTAATACCGGCTTCCTTTCAATTGCTTTAGCATAGATTATAAGTATCTATCTTAGACTGCAGTTTGTTGCCTACACCAACTAGAACTCAACAACTACTGTGTTTAAATAAAGGAAATCTCTCCAAAGAGGAGTGGTTTCTTATAAACACTCCTCTATTAAGTTTCTAGTAGGTGACTCAATGTACAGGTGTTTACGGACAATTAATTATCACCATGATAGTTTACTATGTTGATTTACAGGAGAGAATGGGGAAAAGGCTAAAAGCTAAATTATTTCTCAGCTATCATGCCCCTGTGTTTGCTCTGTGTTAGTTGGTGATTCAAATTCACCAGTTAATACAAAGAGAAAGATCAAAGATGGGAATATACCATGATTGATACCTACCATTGCCTAGCCATATTTGCTTTGGTGTCAAATCCAAAGTCAGAAAAATTTAAAAAAAAATTGAAGAGATCAATACAAATGCTCTATTATTATGCTAATAAAGAACTATTTACTTAGAGGAATGCCCTAAAGTGAGTCCTAATAAGTCAATAACAAAGCACAGGAGCCAATTTTGATCGTAAGTTAAGCCATGCTAAATATTCATGAGGGTTCGGTTTGAGAGAGCACTTCCAACAATAATGTTAAAGATAATACATAAGTTATAAGAAAACTACTTATCATGTGTAAAGATCACAGAAGGTTGAGTCTTGAGACAAGCAAGCTTTTAAAAACTTAGAGTGGAACAAAACGAATCAACAAATACTTTCACCTTGACTTCTAGTGTTAGACCTTACCCTTATATTTCTAAAAACATAACTCAGATGCCATCCTTCATTCATGATCGTTATAGAGGTCACAGTACGGACACACCCTTAGGACTATAGATGCTTTAGTAGAGGTCAAACAAAGATATTTTTAAGATAATAGTTTCATTACACACAGGAGAAGGAGCAGGCAAAGCATGGAGCAGATAGTGGTAAAAGTTACTCTGCTGAGGCTATATGGACTTCAAATGCTATCAGAGAGCAGGGTGGTTTTGAATTTATACTATCAATCCTCTCAGTTATAATCTGAGAAGATAATCAGATTAATACCTATGTTGACGGTGAGAGGGCAAACAGGCCATTTCTTAAAAAAAGTCAATGCTTATATCAAAACAGAATTTAGGCTAAAGTATGAAATAAGAAAAAATAACAAAATTCCAAAGAATGAACAAAAGAAAATATGTTTTAGATCTATGGAATGAAAACAACAACAAAAATAGATATGTTCTTGGATTTCATTAAGATTAAATGTTGTAAAAATGTAAATCATATTCACATTCACTGATCTTAAATGAATTGTAATAAATAAATGGGGATTTTTGTTATGTCAGATTTTTTAAAGAATATAATAGAATGATAATAGTAACATGACAACATTATATTACTCATTATTGGTAAGAATGAAGAGGATATGGAAATCTCCTGTAGAATCATCCTTAACTTTTTGGGACTCAATTTCATAACAAGTATTAATAGGTTCAAAATCCTGCCTATTTTTTCTTCTAGTAATTATATTTCTAAAACTTTATTCTAGGAAAAGACTTACAGATGCTCATAAAGATTAAATATAAGATTGGCCTTATACTAAAATGGCTAACAAAAAATTGAAACAAAGCTTCTATGGCAGATCGGCTAATCTCATGAAAGTCCATCCATCTAATAGAATAGTAGGCATTAAGAGTTACATTTTAGAATTTAGAATTATAGAATATAAAGAAAATAGGTAAAAAACAAGTTGCAAGATAATGTTTAAAGTCTGATTTATCAATATAATTTCTCTATGTGTGAGTGTATATATATATAGAGAGAGAGAGAGAGAGAGAAGAAGAAGAGAGGGCAAGAGAGAGAGAGACCAAATTTTAAGAATGTTATGAGTGGCAATTGCTGTGTTGCAGATTTTGATTTTATTATGTAGGAATGAGTACAGAAAGCCATGCATTGTGGAAGACAAAATGTATCACCGGGCGATGCTTTCAGCTGCAAATAACAGTAGTTTAAATTCAAAATAAATGTGGTTTAAAAGAAACAATTGCTTTTAGAAAAAATCTGTATGTTGGCAGTTGCTTCCAGCATTGACTCAGCTATGGAACAATTCTATCAGGGCTGCTGATTCTATTTTTCTACTGTGTCATGCTTACCTTAGACTGTTAGTTTTTATCCTTGTGCTTGTCTCATCACAGTGGCAAGATGGCTACCAGATCTTTAGCCATTATATCTTCATTTAAGGTAGATAAAAAAAGACTATAAAATAAGGCCCACCATGTGTGGTATGCTTTAGGAGAAAATCAACAGCTTTTCCAGAATTATTCTCTTAAAATAATTGACCTTGTATCTCATTAAGCAGAACTGGATCATGTGGTTACCTCTAGATTCAAAGCTATGTGACAAAGTCAGGAATTTGATTTCCACAAATATTTTACACCAATAATTCTTATACGTGACTGCACATTGAGGCCAATACGTATCAATCAGCATTTTAAAATACAAAAACTGTGTGTCTGCTTTGTGGCTAAGTAGGAAATGGAAGAGTCATTGACAAAATTATAAATTCTTTCACTGTGTCCAGATGAAAAATGAGTATTTCTCACCTTGTCCAATCCCTTTTCATATCAATTGCCAGCAAAGCATTGAATTGCTTAACTCAAGTACTAGTTCCTTCATTAAAAACATAATAAAGGAGAATATTCATTTCAGATTTTATTATGCTGGTCTGGGAAAAGGAAAAAAGATGTTTGTATAGGAAAATATTGTGGAAGAACTTAATAGGAACCAAAAAGATTACCAGTTTTCTTCCATGGAAAATACGGTATTGTCCAGGAACACTCTTCCAGGTTATCTGATTCTATAGGTCTCTGTGCCTTTCATTATCTTTGAGCTATTTTGCAGCTTTAACTGATAGGGATGCAAATAATTCTTATTCACAGACATACAAATACATTTTTTTGGTGGAATTACAATGGACAATTCTCCTTCCCCCACTGTGTAATATGTCAGTTTTCCATCTATAGTAAGTTTATTTTAGCATTTCTTACCTGCCAGTATATGTGACTTTGAATTTTTCTTTGAACCAGTTATGACATTGTTCTGATTGACCCTTTAATACGTTAAACAGAATCTTTGACATGAGTTAATTTTATAGTTGTGTGAGAGTCATGATTATAGCCTGAGTTACTTTGTAATAGTTGAAAGATGAAGTAGAGGTTAATAGGAAAATTAAGATTTTGACTTGATTGTATGCCTGAATTGGTCTCACCAGGAGTGAGCTTTATTATTGTGAATAAAAGAATAATTGATTTTATGAGTTATGAGTAGGAGACGTTTCATTGATAGTTTCAAATCTGGGACTTAAATAGATAAAAACAATAACAAAAACTTACCAACAAACCTTTAGTAAAAGAAGTAGCTACAGAAAAATAATCATGTCAAATTTATCAAAAGCGAATTTATACTTTGTGCTTTAGTCATGAATTATGATGAACATTAGCCTCTATTTATTTCACTCTTTCAACTCAGTCTTCCTATTCTAGGTTAACAACAATGATAGAATAATACTCGAGAATTCTTAAAGTGGCTCAAATTTGGACCACTTGATATTTGTTTTAAGAGTTTTTCTTTCAAAAAATAAAGGAAAATAAATGAAAGTCTTCCCTTAATTGTGCTAACTTTAGAAGAAAAGGTTCTGATACTTTCACATTTATTCAAGATATGTGTTTAGGACTTCTGTGGGAACTTGATAAATGTCCCTTTTCTCTCAAAACAAATAATTCACCTGTTTTTTAAACTTTGTTATATTTTATCAAGTATTTGATAAGTGAAAAAACTGAAAATGAGTGTATTCATTCACTTTGAATTATTGGTGGCTAAAGGCATTGTCCCTTCCAGGAAAGAAACTTTTCATGACTTCAGGCACCATGGCAGTTTAGCATCAACTCTTTTGGGGGTTAACATGGACATTTCATTACATCAAATTATACCCCATAAACTGCATGTTTTGCTAAGCAGTACCACTGTCTTGTCTTTACTTACAATATTCACTTTCTGGTCTGTATGAGGTACTTTAAAATAAATGATTTTTACAACAGGAACATTCAATATGGGTCTAGCAATGTGAATAAGCTTTGGAAAAGAATAACCGAATACTAAACACTATTGACCTTTCTGGATTTAGCCAGTCAGCGTGAAATTTAATTTATTCCAGTATTTCTGAAGACTGGTGAATGTAAAACATTCTGTCTATAAGAACTCACCTACTCTATGGATTTTTCACCTTGTAAAACAGGTAGTTGTAGAATATTTAAATTGTAATGAAAGAAAAAGCCATTATCAAACAATAACCACAAAGAAAAGGTAGATTTCCATCTAAAATGCGTATAGACTGCAGACTAAGTTTGGGACCAGCTGAGCCAAGGATCCGTCTTGCCCTTAATGAAATCTGAGCCAGATCCATTGCATGCTGGGAGCATCACCGTTGGAAATAGCTCTGTGGCAAATGAGTTACTAGATTCACCCAAGTGAATATAACAGCCATTTTCTTGAACAGTTGGAATCCTTTTGCTGGACTGGATAAGGTTTTAAAAACAAAAACAAAAACAATCTGATAATAGCTCTGTTTACCTACCCTGCCAAAAGCACTAACGGCAAATCTATCTTTAATGAGGTGAAGGGTAGATAGAATGTACTGTAGAACTATGTCTGGCAACATCTCACGAGAAGGATGTAAGTTCTGTTTGAGCAGCCGTTTCTAGAGTCATGTTGGTATAAGTATCTCAGAAGGTTGGTGAGAGAAGGGGAGAACAAAATGAATTGAGTAGAGCTCTGTCTTCTAGGGCATCTTCTTTACTTCGTTTAATTTTTAAATATCTGTGTTCTGTAAAATATTTCTTTGTTTGAAGGGTTGCATCACTGAAAATACTATAGAAGAACATTCCTCTAAAGCAATGGCTCTCAATAGGAGATATCTTACCCTCAGGAGACATTGACAATATCTAGAGACTTTTTATTTTTTTGGTTGTCCCAACACGGGAGTGCTACTGGAATCTAGTTGGTAGAGGTCAGGAATCTTTGAAACATTCTACAGTACACAGGACAAGGGCAGCCTCCACACAACATAGAATTATTTGACTCAAAATGTCAATAGTGCCATGGTTGAGAAACCCGCCTGTAAAACAGAATTATAATTTCTATAACAGCTCTAAATTATCTTCAGAAGACCTGGGAAATATTGATTTTATAATATCATGATTGTTATTTTTCTTTATGTTCTAGAAGAATCCCAGGATAATTTTTTTCTTTGAGAAATAGCTTGGTGCAGTGATGAGAGAAGACATAGAATTATATGTGGGATAAAATTTTGATTTTTTATACTTATTAGTGCTATAGTCTTGATATGTACCTTACTCTTTCTCATTTCTTTCTTTAAAAAATGGAGATGATAGTACCAACCAATGAACTGTTGTGAAAAATAAACAGAAATTTATTTGCTTCACTATTTATTTGTTTACATAAACAAGAAACAAATATAAAAATCTCACACATGGGCTGTTACATATATAGTAAAGCTTTTAAATAACTCTCCCAAGGTTATGGAAGTTTAAATTTAGTTGATTGACTCTGGTCAAGACAATCTTAATGTTCTCCTCACTTGACTGAACTTTAAATAGGCTCCTTTCTAACTCTAGCTCTAACTCTAGTACCTCCGTTTTCTTAGAACATTTACTTCAGAAAACTTCTAATTGCAAATTCTTTTTAAGCTTCTTTGAAATGCATATAAATATTCTCCCTGCATCTTGTTAGTTTTACAACCAGGAATGTCTTTCTCAAAGACCAGGGAATCATCCCTTTGGAGGAAGATAACACTTCTATCTCTCAGTTTCTATGGGGAAGATAGGAGCCTAACTTCAATGGGTACCCATTAACAAACACAGATGACCTCATAATAGAGAAAAACATTGGCAAACTCAGGAATAACAATGTGTTCAACACATTTTATTGATTAACCTTTCATACTAGTGTCCTCCAATGTTTTTCCAGTAGTTCATCTCAGTGCTTAAAAACCCTCCTGTCTTCTGTTTCAGTGGAATTAACTTCATTCGCTTTCCCCTATTGCAGTAGTCTTGACTAAAGTCTTTTTGCCCCGTTTGAGTTTGTTCCATGCAATTTTTCTTTGATATCTCCTGCTTTTTCTCAACCCCTACATTAAACCAGGGTGAGCTAAAGGTTTATTCTACAGAGACTGAAAACAGGATATGAAGTGGAAGATGTCACTGGACTTAAATAGCCTATCTATGAAAGCTGGGAAGTGGAGAGCTGGCTTGTTTCATCAGTATTATCAGGTCCAATCTGCTAAGAGTGAGTGCCAACTAACAGGGAGATTTCTGAAATTATTGACCCTGCAATTGAAATGTCAGCCATCCTATGGCCCCAGTTACCCCGTAGACGGAGCAGACAACAAACCACTTCATGGGTTTGAATTTCTCAACTAGACCCAGAACTATTTACAGGACAGCTTTACAGCATTGCCCGTTATTTCATTTCTCTTGAAATGACAGGATCCGATATGCTATACAATTTAATTTCTTAGTCCCCAAATGTCACATTTCCCTCAGCTACTTCCCTAAAAATAATATAAAGTAAAAGAGAAAACAAAAAATCCAGGGACAGAGTAACAGTTAGTTTATTCAGGAATTAAAATAGAAAGCCACATCGTGTTGGGCAGTCTTTAGTGCTCATGTCTTTCAGTTCTCTCAGTTCATATTCAGAGGCTGGCAAACCGTTTACTTTCTGCAGGCCAAATCTGTAGGCCACTTATTTATGTAAATTAAATTTTATTGGCTCACAGCCACACCCATTGGTTTAAGTATTGTCTGTGGAGGTTTTCTCACTAAAAAGACAGAGATAAGTAGTTGTGACAAAAACTCAATAGTGCAAAAAATCTAAAATGTATATTATTTGGCTCTTTATAAAAAAAAGTCTGCCAACTCCTGTATTAAGAATCAGAAGCCTGTAGAGTTTCTGTTATTTAACTAGGATTACAGAGCAGGGCTAATTATAAAATTTCTCTGGCCTGTAATGACCAGTTTTTAAGTTTTTATGTTATTTATAAACTCATTTCTATTACTGTAAAAAGGTAGATAACAGTTCAGTCTCTTAGGGAGCCAATTAAATGGCACTTCTATTAAGTATTCCTGGGCTCTGGGTAAGCTGAGAAACAAAATTAAGGGAGGTACCTCTAGGATCACTTTCAGTATTGATTATGGCCCAATGGGAGGGTGTGGCTTGTGTCAGAGTCATTGGCCCTGTGAATTAAACCCCAAGATTAGGTAGATGTACGCACTGGACCAAGGCAGCGACTCCCCTCACCCTACCAGAGGGGCCTCAGAACTTGGAGGTAGGAGGATTTGAGATAAACATGCCAACTTATTCTTATTTGACAATCACTCCGCTCCCAAGAGACTGAGTGAAGGAAGGCTTAGACAGAGGACAGAGGTGTGTGATGGGTGAGTCATTCGTCCAGAAAACCAGGAGTGGAAGAAAAAGTTTCTTTCTACCTGAGAGTTCAAGCATACATCTTCTTGAACAAAGTGGGTGATGAGATTTGGGATGGTTTACAATGTATATATTGCTTATTTGCACTTTTAAGTATTTTCAAATGAACAAAATTTATTTCAGTTTAAAAAGGAAAAAAACTTTAAAATATGTAAACCCATGTCATGTATGAAGGTTTTTCTAGAAGCTTTATAGAGATGAAGCATTCAGAACAAAAATGCTTAGTTGCATTTACATTTGGAAAATTTTGTGTGAGGACAAAATTCATGCAATTTTGAAGTTCCTATTTGTTTTTGTTGTTCTGCTGTTGCCTAAAATTGTTTTTCCTCCTCCTCATTTTTTAGTATTCACAATTCGATGACCCTAAAGGCTTTAATATTATCAGGTGGCAGATAAGGAGGACATATACACCTGGTGATAATATTAGTGCATATAAAATATTATAGTATAATTAACAGTCAAATAATCTTCTTAACTTTTCATTCCAATTTTGAGAAAGTGTCATTCTGCTCCTTATATTGTTTAGCAACACCACTACAAATTTTAGAAATATGAAATCACATTGTGAATATTACTGCTTCCATTAGCTGACACCTTTGTGTCCCACCACACTAATATGTGCTGATAAATTCCTCCAGAATACAATTTGGTTTTCCTTATAAGTAATCTCTGCTGTGCTGTGCCTCTGCTTGAGGTCTAACCTTTTGCCCACATCCTCACTTAATCAATAAAAAACATAACTAAATGTTTGGGAAAAGTAATGAGTTCTCAGTACACAAGGAACCCAATATCTTAGTAAAAATATTTTTTCTTCATAATGTTGCATATAGAAAGATGCATATTATGGAATACTTTCTGTTATTTGAAGGAGAGTGACATTTGCTCTTACATAAGATAAATGTACCACCAAGGTTGTGAAAAACAAACACAAACCAAAACCTCAAAAAGAAAAGCAAAAAGTGAGTTCTAATGCTAATTCAAGTTCACATTGGGTTGTATGCTTCTGTCTGGCAAGTTAACTAAGAATCTACATAGAACCATACTTTTGTAACAGTGTTGTAGGAAACACATCAGTGCAATTTAGTTTCCTCCTAATTGAATACTTTAATTGGGTTCATGGTGTAAGTAGGATGAAAGAGATTTCCAGAGAAAGTTTTTTGTACTAATTGTTTTATTTTATTCACTGGCATTGAACAAAAACCAAGCCATTTGCATGTTGACACACAGCATATGACAACAGTACCAATGCTTCATTATAATGGTGAGTCTAGAAAACTTAAAATATATTATTCTAGATAATCACAAAGGAGAAACTCTTCTGTAGGTATGAATAATATAAAGAACCAAATGAACCATTCATCTTCATTTCAATACTAACTGATCCTGAAAACATTGAAATAATTGCTATTATTATTTTTTACTAAAAGAGCTTCCTGGCTAAAAATACAAAATATTTTAAACCTGCAAGGCTTCAGAAAATTAGTTACAGCTCCATTTCTTGCTCACTGTCTCTAAATAATAATAAAACAAATTATTCTTAAAGAAATCACTAATCCTACTGAGGGTATCCTGTTACTAAAGAACATCTTTAAATCGTGTGCTTTTTTTTCTGAACTTTGAATTTAAAATGTTTTCTATAAATGTATTAAGAGATTTCATTGCATTTGTATTGGCTGAACTTATTCTTAATGTCCTGCCAATTGATGGTATGGCTAAGAGAATGTTCCCTTTTGGCAAATTGGCACCACCTTTAGCCTGAAGAGCAGTCTTGACTGGGAGCGTAACTGACATTCTGATCTGATCTCAGCAGGCAAAGACAGATAAGCTGTCATCCTCCCCATAAAATGGTTGCTATGCAGAACAATCCTTTCTGGTGGGAAAATGTTAGATTTCCCCAGAGAGACACTACTGCATGTGGATTTATGTTTATTGCAGATTCACTTGATTTGGTAGATGGATTTGGATGGAAATTCTTATTATTAGTCAACCTGATGTTTCTTTAATGCTCCTCAGTGGTATTCCCCCATAGCTATGTCTTGGCTCTGCAAACACAAAATCTCAGTTTAATGATTGGTATCCTCCCTGGAGATTTTTATTCTCCTTCCTACTCTCCTCCTGGAATTATCTATAACCTTGTGGGGCAAACCAAGTTAGCACTTAGTATATGTTTGCTGTAAAGTGTTTGAGATATTTTATAATGATTTGCCAATTGGAAGCAAAATAATATTTGAATATTCAAAAGAAAATGTGTATGTCAGTGGTTTGATTCCATAATTGGACTCACTTTGCTAGAAATACCAAAGTATGTATCATTTTGAGCAGGCATTTACAACTTCTTTGCATCCTGCCAGTAGTCCAATTATCCTATCTGAGTTTTGGCCCATAACTTAAGCTGTCTGGATTAGAGAGAGTACATACTCAAAAGAGCTATAATGAAGAATTTTCAAAATTCAGTAGCTCAAACAAAACAAAGGTTATTCCTTCTTGCACAGTAGTGCAGTGTGTGTTCCAAGACAGCTCCACAGTTACTTATACACATGGATTGATATGTCTCTATACAGGATATAAGCTTTCTATGGTTACTGCTGTTTTGCCATTAGGGAGGAGAACAGAATGAAGGACTCTTCTCAGAAACTTCCTCTTAAGAAAGTGAGGCAGAAATTGCACACATCACTTTGATTTACATTTTCTTGACAAGACCTTAGTTATCTGCCTCTGTGCAAAGGGCATTAGAAAATCCAGTGATGAGATATTATCCATATCCCAACCTCAACTCTATGCTGTTGAACTAAAGGGAGGCATACTTTCCTGGATATCTAAGGGTGTCTTCTATGTCATCTTCATTTCCTCAAACTCTGTGCTTCTTTATAGGGAACCATGAAAAACACTAGGTTCCTCTTTCATGCCCTCCAAGGGACATGAGGGACATTTTACTCTGAGCCCATTGTACTGTACTACAGTTCTTTTTTAGCCCTAGGCAGAGGTTACTTCCTCAAACCTTTCATCTTAAGAAATCTCCAGGTGAGTGATAGGTTCCACATTATACCTCCATATATGTCCCTAACACTCTGGGAACACCTGTCAAGTTTTTGACAAGGCTATCACTTTACCCCGGTGTGCCCCTATCACTGCACCAAGACCGACTCCAGGGTGGGTCTGCTAATTTCAGCTCAGTGACCTGTCTGTCAGGTGTAGTCAGCCTATCTCCTCATTTTGAAAGTACCTCCAACCTGTACAACTTTTTCTCTCGAAGATTCCTCTCAGTTAGTTTTGTGATGGTGGTGGGTGTGGTGATTCTCTTAATAAAGAAGATGATATCTCTTACAACATCATCATCATCATCAGTTCCTCTCTTTCTGCCTTCTAGTATTTTAGGAGCCATCAGGCAAGGATGGGCTAGGGTGATGATTGGGGTTACGGAGTGATGTGGTTTGGCTTTATTTTTCCGCCCAAATCTCATTTTGAATTGTAATCCCCATAATCCCCATGTGACAAGGGTGGGTGGCAATTGGATCATGGGGGTGGTTTCCCCCATGCTATTCTCATGAGAATGAGTGAGTTCTCACGAGATCTGATGGTTTTATAAATGGCAGTTTCCCCTGGATTTTTCACTCTCTTGCCTGCCACCACGTAAGACATGCCTCCTTCCCCTTCTGCCATGATTGTAAGTTTCCTGAGGCATCCCCAGGTATGCTGACCTGTGAATCAATTAAACCTCTTTCCTTTATAAATTACCCAGTCTTGGGTATTTCTTTATAACAGTGTGAAAATGGACTAATACAATAAAGTCGTACCAAGTGAGTGGAGTACTCCTATAAAGATACCTTAAAATGTGGAAGCAACTTTGGAACTGGGTAACAGGCAGAGTTTGGAACAGTTTGGAGGGCTCAGAAAAAGACAGGAAGATGTGGGAAAGTCTGGAACTTCCTAGAGACTTGTTTAATAGTTTGGACCAAAATGCTGATAGTGATGTGAACAATGAAGTCCAGGCCAAGATGGTCTCAGATGGAGATGAGGAACTTATTGGGAACTGGAGCAAAGTTCACCCTTGCTATGATTTATCAAAGAGACTGGTGACATTTTGTCCCTTCACTTAAAGATCTGTGAAACTTTGAACTTGAGAGAGATGATCTGAGATTGCAACTCGTTTTTAAAAGGGAAGCACAGCATAAAAGTTTGGAAAATTTGCAGCCTGACAATGAAATAGAAAATAAAACCCCAATTTCTAGGAAGAAATTCAAGCTAGCTGCAGAAATTTGCATAAGTAATGCAGAGTCAAATATTAATCACCAGGACAATGGAGAAAATGTCTCCAGGGCATGTCAGAGATCTTTAAGGCAGCCTCCCTCATCACAGGCCCAGAGGCCTAAGAGGGAAAAATGGTTTTGTGGGCTGGGCCTAGGGTCCCACTGTTCTGTGCAGCCTGGGGACTTGGTGTTCTGCATCCTAGGCACCCCAGCTTCCCTTGTGGCTAGAAGGGGCCAAGGTATAGCTTGAACTGTTGCTTCAGAGGGTGCAAGCCACAAGCCTTGGTGTCTTCCATGTGATATTGGGCATACAGGTTCACAGAAGTCAAGAACTGAGGTTGGGGAACCTCTGCCTAGATTTCAGAGGAGGTATGAAAATGCCTGGACCTCCAGACAGTCTGCTGCAGGGGCTAAGCCCTCATGGAGAACCTCTGCTAGGGTAGTGTGAATTGCTTATATGTAAAAAGGGTGTGAGATGTGGAAGGGCCAGGGGTGGAATTATATGGTTTGACTCTGTGTCCAACCCAAATTGCATCTCGAATGGTAATCCCTATAATCCCCTGTGTCAAGGGATGGAGGTGATTGGATCATGAGGATGATTTCCACCATGCTGTTCTTGTGACAATGAGTTAATTCTCACGAGATCTGATGATTTTATAAATGTTTGGCAAGTTCCTCTTTCACACACTGTCTCTCTTGCCTGCCACCATGTAAGATGTTCCTGCTTTCCCTTCCACCATGATTGTAAGTTTCCTGAGGCCTCCCCAGGCATGCAGAGCTGTGAGTCAATTAAACCTCTTTTGTTTATAAATTACCCAGTCTTAGGAAGTTCTTTATAGCAGTCTGAAAATGCGCTGATACAGAGAACCTGTTGGGAAACTTATTAACAAGCTGAGAGAAATTTGAGTGAGTTTTAGATTGGGGGGAATTTATCTTTCCTTGTTCCTACCTTTTAAGCACTAGTCATCAATTCTGGGACAAAAGCATTCTTTCTCAAAATATTTCCTGTTAGACCTTGTCTTTTCCATATGTTATTTTATACAGTTGGCACTGTAGCACAGATCCAACTTTTAGTTAGCAGTTGGTAGTTATTCAATATTTCATGATGTTCATCTTCAGTGAGTTTATGAAATCTTATTATTGTCATACTGTTTGTAGACAGTTTGGAAATTACAAAGAAAGAAATATTTTATTATGAATATTTCTGAAAATGATGCTTTGTGTAGTTTTTAAATATCGAATTATCTAGTTGAAAAAAGTTTTTTAAATTAATAAAAGTCATATGGAGAGAGAAAGAGCAAGAGAGAAAGGGAAAGGTGGTGCCAGGCTCTTTTTAATAATCTGATCTCATGGGAACTAATAGAGCAAGACTTCACTCATTATCTTGGGAAGGGTACTAAGCCATTCAGGAGGGAGAGGGATCTGCCCCCATAACCCAAACACCTCCAATCAGGCCCTACCTCCAACATTGTATCACCTTTCAACATGATATTTGGTGGGGAGAAATATCCAAACTATATAAAAAAGTATGGAGCTGAATGGATTAAGATAAATATAACACCTGAATAGCCACTACCATGTCAGGAAATACAATCTTATCAGCAACTCCAGAAGCCCTCAATGTGCCCTTCCCAAAAGATAGCCTCTTCTCTGTCCCTAAGGATAATTAGCACCCTGATTTCTATGGAAATCATCTTAATTGTCTTTGTAGTTTCATCACCCAAATGTGCATATCTAATCTGTAGCTTATTTTTTAACTGTTTCTTTTAGGTATAATTGATATATAATCCACGACACATATTTGAAGAGTGCAATTTGATTTTTTTACATGTAATTATACCTATGAAAGCACCCCACAATCAAAATAATAAATATATCTATCAGGGCCAAAATTTGCATTATGTCTCTTTGATTTCTTTGCCTCCACACCCTTCACTGCCACCCATACTTCCTGGCAACTACTGATCTTCTTTCCATCACTATAGAGTAGCTTGCATTTTCTAGAATTTTATATAAATGGAATCATACAGTATGTGTGTATTTTTTTTGTCTGGTTTCTTTCACTCAGCATGATAATTTTGATTTTCATTGATTTTTTGCATGCATCAAGTTTATTTGTTTTATTGTTGAGTAGTTTTCCACTGTATGCATATACTTTATTTTGTTTATCATATTGTTTTTCAATATATAATTATTATGTGTTGATGGACATTTGAATTGTTTCTAGTCTTTGGCTATTACAAATATAGCTGCTATGAACATTCATGTACAAGATTTTATATGGGCATATGCTTTTATTTGCTGTGATAAATATCTCAGGGTGGAAAGGCTGGATCACATGTAGGTATATGTTTAGCTTTTTAAGGAATTGCTGAACTGTTTTCAAAGTGATGGTTGCATTTTACATTCTCACCAGCAGAATGTGTGAATTTCATTTTCTCTCTGTTCTTGACAGCACTTCATATTGTTGGTCTTTTCAATTTTAATAATTCTAATAAGTGTGTTGTGCATTGCATTTCAGTTTTAATTTTCCTTTTCTGAATGACTAATGATGTTTACCTTATTTCATGTGTTTATGTTGTCAAGCACGTATCTTCTTTAGTGAAGAATCTGGGTTTTTTTCCTATTTAATAATTTGAGCTATTTGTCTTCTATTACTAAGTTTTTTTTGTTTGGTTTTGTTTTGTTTTGAGACAGAGTCTCACTCTGTTGCCCAGGCTGAAGTGCAGTGGCATGATCTCCGCTCACTGCAAGCTTCACCTCCCGAGTTCACACCATTCTCCTGCCTCATCCTCCCGAGTAGCTGGGACTACAGGCACCTGCCACCACGCCCAGCTAATTTTTTGTATTTTTAGTAGAGATGGGGTTTCACCTTGTTAGCCAGGATGGTCTTGATCTCCTGACCTCGTGATCCACCCGCCTCGGCCTCCCAAAGTGCTGGGATTACAGGTGTGAGCCACTGTGCCCGGCCTCTTTTCTATTACTAAGTTTTGAGAGTTTTTAATTTATTCTAGAAAAAAGGCCTTTATCAGGTATAAGAATCAAAAATATTTTTTCAAAGTGGTGGCTTTTCTTTTTATTTTCTTACTAAGTTATTAGAAAAGAAAAGGATGTTAATTTTGGTGAAGTCCAATTTATCAATATCTTCTTTTAAGCATAATGTATTTGGTGTCATATCTAAGAAATCTTTGCCTTATCCAAGGTCACAAGGATTTTATCCTCCGTATTCTCCCAGAACAGTTATGGTTTTAGGTGTTAAATTTAGACCTGTAATCCATCTTGAGTTAATTTTTGTATGTGGTGTGATATATGGATTGAAGTTAACTTTTTAACTTATGAATATTTAATTATTATAACACTATTTTATTGAAAAGAATCTTCTTATTTTTCTATTGAATTGCCTTTGTACCTTTACCAAAACTCAATTAAATATATACGTAAATCTATTTCTGTACCGTCTATGTTCCATTGACTGATTTGTCCTTTATCTTTAAGAAAATTTGTCATGGTTTTGATAACTGTAGCTTATAAGAAGCTTTAAAGTCAGGTAATGTTAGTCCTCCAAATGTTAATTTTGAAATTTGTTTTGGCTAATCGATATCCTTTTGCATTTTCATCTGAGTGTTAGAATCATCTTGTCAATTTCTACCAAAAAGAAAACTGCTGGAATTTTGATTGAGAATGTGTTGAATCTATAGATAAATTTTGGGGTAACTGAAATCTTAAATATTTTGAGTCCCTAATCCATGAACAAAGTACATTTTTTTTTAGATCTTGAATGTTTCTCAGCGAGGAAAGATAATACATCTTTAGCTAGATTAACTTTAAATGTATCATATTTTGATGCTATTGTAAGTGGCCTTTAACATTTTAAATTTCTGATTGTTCATTGAAGTATATAGAAATAAAATCAATTATTGTTCTTTATCTTGTATTCTGCTGAATTGCTAAACTTGCCTACTACTAGTTCTAGTAACTTTTTTTGGCTTCCATATGATTTTATTTATATATAATCATGTTATCTGCTAAATAAAACACTTTGATGTTTTTCTTCCTTTATGGATGCTCTTTATTTTATTTTATTTCCTTATTCTACTAGATAAAACCTCCACTACAATATTGAATAAAACTGGAATGATCAGATATCTTTGCCATTTTCCTGGGGGAAAAGCATTTCATCTTTCACCATAAAGTATAATCTTAGCTGAAGCTTTTCGTAGATGTCCTTTATCAAGCTGAGGAAGTTCCTAGTTTTCAGAGAAGCTTTTTGCTTTGTATTGTTTTTAAAAAATCAGAACTATTTGTTGAATATCAACAAATGATTCTCCTGTGTCTATCAAGATGATTATATGGTTATACTTTAGTTTGTTAATATGGTGACTACATTAACATTAATTTTTTTCAAATGTTAAATCAACCTTGAATTCCTGGTAAACCCCACTTGCTTATGCTCCATTTTTTAAAATATTGCTAATATTTTGTTAAGAATGTTTACATCTATGCTTATGAGGATTATGAATCTACAGTTTTCTTGTAATGTCTTTTTGTCATTTTGATATAAAATTCTGGCATCATAGAATGAATTTTAAAATATTTCCTACTCTTCAATTTTCTTGAAGCGTTTGTGTAAAATTGGTATTATTTGTTCCATAAATTTTTAGCCAAGTTTGTCAGTGAAGCCATATAGGCCTGGAGTTTTCTTTGTGGGAAGGTTTTTAACTATAAATTCATTTTTAATAGATTATTGGTCTACATAAGCTATTGCTTCCTGAGTGAAGTTTGATATTTTTCCAAAGTATTTGTCAAACTTATTGGCATAAGTTGTTTATGACATTTTCATATCTTCTCTTAAAATCTGTAGACTCTCTATTGATGTCACCTCTTCCATTCCTATTATTGGCAACCTGTGTATCTTTCCTTTTTTTTTTTTCAATAGTTGAGCTTACCTTATGTTGCCCTTCTCTTAAGAATCACTGCCTTTTTTTCCCTAATGACTGGCGTCTTAAAAACTATTGTTTGTTTGTTCAAGAGTTTCAGGTGAAAGGGTAAGTATGGTTCCATCTTTTCCAGAAGTCTTTAATTTTTCCTGTTTGTAATGTCTTTTAAGTCTCATTTTTAATAATTACTTCTCTCTCTATGCCTTATTTTTCCCCTTGCAATTTCTCTCTCTCTCTCTCCCTCTCTCTCTCTCTCCCTCTCTCTCTCTCTTTCTCTCTCTCTCTTTTTTTTTTTTTTTTTTGAGATGGAGTCTCGCTCTGTAGCCCAGGCTGGAGTGCAGTGGTGCAATCTCAGCTCACTGCAACCTCTGCCTCCCAGGTCCCTGTTCAAGCAGCTCTCCTGCCTCAGCCTCCCAAGTAGCTGGAATTACAGGAAAGCACCACCATGCCCAGCTAATTTTTGTATTTTTAGTAGAGACGGGGTTTTGCCATGTTGGCCAGGCTGGTCTTGAACTCCTGACCTCGTGATCTGCCTACCTCGGCCTCCCAAAGTGCTGTGATTACAAGCGTGAGCTACCGTCTACAGCCTCAATTTATCTCTTAAAGCAACCATATTACTTGTTCCGTGGGGTTTCTTACAGTCTGCATGTTAGTGAGTTCATTTACATGTTGCCACTCTAGTGTTCCTTTTATATATATATAGTTTCTATAAATTATGATATAGAAGCTCAGATTACAGTTCAATTTATCTTGATAATGCTTCTTTTTAAGTGCTTTACTTTTTTGTATTATGAAGCACATGATGGCTCCATCCAATATAGTAGCTACTATCATATGCGGCTATTGAACCCTTGAAATGGGAGCTCATATGTAAATGGAAGCATATGATTAATGTAGGATATACACTGGATTTTGAGGACTAGTACATTTTTAAAATGAGGTTACTAGAAAATTTAAAATTACATATGTGCATCTGCATTATATTTCTTCTGGACAAAGCTAACTCATGATGTCTGATTATCTCTTCTTTCATGTGATGTTGGAAGACACTGAGTCTTAATGACTCAATCTATTAATTTAATAAAGGTAGCCAAATAATGATATTCCAGTTCTATCATTCTTTCATCATTTATTTGTTGAAATGCACTTTTAAGGAGAAACATTACTTTATCTTTTATATGGTTACCTAGTGGTACAGTTTGGATAGGAGTGTCAGGGTAATTTTTTAAAAACTATTTTTTTTAGTTACTTGTTCTGAAAATAAAAAGATGGTTCCCTTGCATCCTCCAAATTAACTAGTTAGAGTTTTAGTATCCTTATGAACTGATAGATTTAAATATATTTTATGTGTTTTGATCATTTGCAGACGTGTTATGTATTGGGGCTCAATTTGCTACTCTGTGGCCATTGTAGTCTCTTTAATTTAGCAACAATATACAGTTGACCTTTAAGGAACACAAGTTTGAACAGTGCAGGTCCGAACACAGATGGAAAATACAGTATTTTGGGGATGGGAAAGTTACACACGGATTTTTTTCATCAAAACTCAGTGGAAAATACAGTATTTGGGGGATGTGAAACTTGCTTAGTGGAGTGCTGACTTTTCAAATCAGCCAGTTCCATAGAACCAAATGATGGATTTGAGTATGTGGGGATTTCGGTGTGCATGGCATCCTGGAACCAATTTTTCACATATTTCCCATCTCTATTGAGGGACGATTATAGTTTAAATATAACTCCATTAGTCTTTGATAGTCTTTTGCTGTCAAATATTACAGATACTCTAGGCATATTTTGTACTTCTCTTGCTTCAGTCTGGAATCCGATATTTTTCCATTTTCCACTTCGTAGGAATGTATATACCAAAGCCATGATCTGGATGTTAGGTATGCAAATTGGTTCTGATTCAGTCACTGTTTTCAATTCAGATGTGATTATTGGATATTTATTTAGCTTCCTCTATCTATGTCTGTTTTTTTTTCTCCCACAGGGAGAGTAAGTCTCACAGATATCTTTACTCATAGAATTTGTATATCATATAATTACTTGTTTTTTTTATCTTGCCTTACAAAAAATAACTTCAGAGTAACAACACCATTACTAGCACTAAAATCATCACTGAAAATAGGTAAAAGATTTTTGGCATATCGTCCCATTTTTATACTCTTAATGGAATGTGTGTTTTTATATCTTTATAACAATGTGTCTCTGGTCATTTCTGGCTTTCTGAATCTAATTCTCTAAGACGTCCAAGGATGCGCTCCTGTGAAAATGTTAAGCATCCCATACTGATCTATATTGTTGGATTAACTATACTTGACTGCTATTGGGAAATTGAAATTCCTTCCAATATCATCTGCTGTCCTTAAGTTGGCTTTCAAATGAGTACCCATTAGTAGTTTTATAGTTTTCAGGGTTGTCACATATTCCCTTGCTTCCCTTTGTTTTCTCCTGCACAGAGACAGATTCATGGTGATATCTTGTTACTTAGACATTTTGGTAGTATTTGCTTTGGAATTTTAGTTTTTCTATCTGTGTAGTAAAATATTGACCTCAACAAAAGATAGCTCTATCCTTTACTCTTGGCTCCTGAGAGGTGATCGCTAAACCCTTGGAATGTCCTGTCTTATAAGAGTGTTTTTGCTTACTTGAGAGCCTTGAACCAAACCCATAATATAACTATGTGATTCATTCATGGGGGCTTTGAGTCATGTGGTATCAGCTCGACCCCCAGAAAAGCTGCAGACTTATACTGAGTCATGTGAACAGTCAACCATGTGTTTTACCAACCCCAGTCAAATCTCTGACCCAAGGTTCAAGTGAGCTTTCCCAGTTGGCAGTATTCCAAGTATATTGTCATATATTATTCTGGAAGAACTTAATGCTATCAGTAACTCCCTGAAAGAGGACAACCAAAAGCTCCACATGTGGTCCATTCCTGGACTCCTTCCCATGCATTTCTTCTCTTGACTGATTTTAATTTACATTATTTCACTGTAATGAATCACAACCATGAGTATAACTCCTTTCAGTGTTTTCTGTGAGTCCTTCTTGTGAATTATTCCTTCTAGTGAATTATCACAACTGAAGATGTTCTTGGGAACCTACAAACTTGCAGTTGGTGTTAAAAGGGAGGGTGGTCTTATAGACTACCTCTGCACTCTGCACTATCCTATTGTTCTATGTGTTTATATAGAGAGACTTAGCAAAAGTATAATACTATGTTGCCACTACTACCATCTTCTGAGAATCACCCTATACTTAAGTATTGAAAATGCAAATCTGCTGTATATATTTTGTAATGATTGTGTTGTAATAATTAAAGGCATATGTGTACTATAAATAAAATTATCAAAAACAACAAACTTGTAAAATTATCCCAAAATATATATTGTTGGGCTGGTATTTCTAATATAGAGAGCTGGTTAATGAATCAATAAGAAATATATAAAATGTTACTGTAGAAACATGGAATTTACAGAAGATATTGAAATGTGCAGTAACCAATGAATCAGATGTTTAATGTTGCTGGCAACCACAAATACAAACTAAATATTTCACATTTTATATTGGGAATAATTAAAAACATTGAAAGCACCAAGCATTGTCTTCAACTAGCAATTCTACCTTTAGAATAATGTAAGAATATTCATGAAAAAATACTTATTTAAGAATCATCTACTTTTGTAGTAAACTGTACAAAACTTAAATGATATTAAAGCACTATGCTATTATAATTAATTATATATATATTCATGTTTATTAACATGTGAAGGTCTGCACAACAAAGAGCTGAAGGAAGAAAACAGATAACAAAAAATGATCCCATTCATGCAAAACAAGCTTCGTGTATGTGTGTATGTGTGTGTGTGTAGGGGTGTGTGTGTGGGTGTGTGTGTTGAAAATCTCCTTTGTTTAGCATGTTTGAAAGAATATTTATTAAAATATTAAGAATAATTATGCCTGATTTGATTTTCATGTAGTATATTATTTTTTAGAATATATATGTTGTTGTATTAATTAGAAAATTGATTTTATTTTCAAAACAATTTGACTCCCCATTCTCCTTTTTCCCCTTTCCCCCTTCTGTTTCTTTCTCACTGCTCTTCTTGCCCAGCTTTGCTCCTCATATATTATGCCCCATTTTGTCTTCTCCTGAATCTTTCACTTTTCTCTCCCTTTCTCCAGTAGAAATGTAGCTGCCAAATTAGCAAAGTCAGATATTCAGGAATTGATTGTTGCACAGCTATAGAATGTTCCAGTTGCTAAATAATAAACCTTGAAAATCACAGTCATGCATTTATGAAATATTTGGTGATACAATTTATTGATCACTGGATGAAGTGTTTTAATAATTGCTATAAAAATTATGTGGATCTCAGTGTAATACAGCAGTACAGAAATCTGGACATTCTGCCTGATCATAAGGCTTGCTAAACACAGGGTAATAAACTGAATAATGGCCCCCAGAGATATCCAGTCCTAATCCATGGAACGTGTAAATGTTACCTTATTTGAGAAAGTGTTTTTACAGATGTAATTAAGAAAAGAATTTTGAGGTGAAGGCATTCTCAGATTGTCTTGGTGGGCTCACTATGAATTACATGTATTCTTATAAGAAGGAGACAAAGGGAGATTTAAGACACACAGAAGAAGAGGAAGAAGAGAAGAAGGCAGTGTGATCCCCTGGGCATACATTGGAGTGAGGCAGCCACAAGCCAAGTAATGTTGGTTGTGACCAGAAGCTGGGCAAGGCAAGGAATGGATTCATCCTTTAGTCCCCAAAGTCAGCATGGCCCAGCCAACACTTCACTCCAGTCCAGTGATACTGATTTTGGACTTCTGGCCCATAAAACATAAGGTAATACATTTATGTTGTATTCAGCCACTAAGTTTGTGATAATTTGTTACAACAGCTACAAGAAACTAATCCATATGACATATTGTTATAAGATCTCATAGATTTGCTTATGAAATTTTGTCCTCCTGGAAAGACTTTATAATACATTTCATTACTTACCAAACTTGCATTTTTCTTAAAAATCTAGCTAACATGTAGACCTATTATATAGCCTTCTGTGGCGTAGCACTTCTGGCATTTTAATAGGCAGAAACCAATGCTCCCTAATGTGTGCTTTCATATGACTTCTTCAACATTTGGATTATGGTGTTTGTTTTCTGTATCATTCACCACATATCCGTATCTGTTTTCCCATGTCTTCCCATATTATAACTTCCTCTAGGATATATACTCTGTTTTACATATTGTTCCCCAAATTCCCAGAATCTGACTTAACTTCATTTAATAGTAACTACATAGCTGAATACTGTATGTATAGTCCCATGTACAATTTAGACTCTAAAAAGTACTATTTAAATGGAATAAATTCAGTTGTAAGATTCTATGTCCAAGGCCAGTTCTCTGAGTTGTTCTAAGGCTATCTTTCCTATGTTGACTGAGTTCCCTTTAAGCAGTCATTGTCCATATATTGCTGGGAAATGTTTCAAAGAGTGATATGGTTTGGCTGTGTCCTCACCCAAATCTCATCTTGAATTGTGTGATGGGTAATACTGTCAACTTGATTGGATTGAAGGATGCAAAGTATTGATCCTGGGTGTGTCTGTGAGGATGTTGCCAAAGGAGATTAACATTTGAGTCAGTGGGCTGGGAAAGGCAGACCCACAGCTAATCTGGGCGGGTGCCATGTAATCAGCTGCTAGCATGGCCAGGATGTAAAGCAGGCAGGAAAACGTGAAAAGGCTAGACTGGGTTAGCCTCCCAGCCTACATTTTTCTTTCATGCTGGATGCTTCCTGCCCTGGAACATCAGACTCCAAGTTCTTAAGCTTTGGGACTCAGACTGGCTTCCTTGCTTCTCAGCTTACAGAAGGCCTATTGTGGGAACTTGTGATTGTGTGAGTTAATACTACTTTGTATATACATATACATACATATATATATATATATATATATATATAATTAGTTCTGATATATATATATATATATATATATATATATATATATCATTAGTTCTGTCCCTCTAGAGAACTCTAATACAGATTTTGATGCCAGGAGTGGTTCTAGAGAAAGAGAATAGTAAGGATGATGGAGCTCTTTCATTAGTTTTGAGGTTTCTGGAGTTGGCTGCTTAATATGATTAGGCCCCAAAATGCTAAGGATTCTACTTTTAATAGTATGGAGAACACTGATAGTCCTTGGTGTGAACTGTTTAGAGAGTTACACAAAATAAATGCACTTGGCACTCCTGATTCACCGCTTGTAAGAGCCAAGGAGTTTAGTGACTCTATACATAATACCTTTGACTATATGTGGAGAACCAAGGAAAATAATGAAGTTGGTTGGTTGCTCCTAAGTTCACTGGACAAAGTGATGAAAGAAAATGATGAACTCAGGGATTCTGTCTCCTGGTTTCAGAAGCAGATACTGAGACACAAATCTGCTAAGATTTCCCTGAGTGAGAGTCTTATCTCCTGTAGAGAAGGAGTTTAAATTGTGGAAAAACAGACACAAGCTCTTATCAAGAGAGCAGCTGACCTGAAATGAAAAGTGCATGCACAGCCTCACCAGGTGTCTACTGTTAAAGTGAGGGCATTGATTGGAAAAGAAAAGGACCGTGTAACTTAGAACAGGGACTTGTGGGAGGACCCTGATGAAGCTGGGGACACTGGGCTTATAAACTCTGATGAATCTTTTTTTGCCAGAAGATATAACTTCCCCATCCCCAGTAGTGGCAACACCCCCTCCCGAACCCATGCTGCCATCAGCCTTCCCACCTTTGTCTGAGGAGATTAAACCCTGTGCTGCCTGAGGCAATAGTGATGGCCTCCCCTGAGGAAGTTGCCAGGGAAGATAACGTTGATTCTCCTCAGGAGCCATCTCCAACATCCCTGTTTGATTCTAGGCCTATAACTAGAATCAAGTGGGCCCCTAGAGGTGAGGTTCAGAGTGTGACCTATGAGGGGGTGCACTACACTCAAAAAGAACTGCTTGACTTTTCTTATTTATATAAGCAGAAATCTGGAGAACTTGCATGGGAATGGATAGGAAGGGTGTGGGATAATGTTGGAAGGAACATAGAGTTGGATCAGGCTGAATTTATTGATTCGGGACCACTTAGTAGGGATTCTGCATTTAATGTTGCAGCTCAGGGAGTTTAAAAAGTTTCTAATAGGTTATTTGCTTGGTTACTTGGTTAGCTGTAATGCGGATTAAAAGATGGCCTACTGTGAGTGAACTGGAAATGCCTGATCTTCCTTGGTTTAATGTAGAGGAAGGGATCCAAAGGCTTAGGGAGATTGGGATGATGGAGTGGATTAGTCACTTTAGACCTACTCATCCCAGCTGGGAGGGTCCAGAAGATATACCCTTGATGAATGCTTTGAGAAATAGATTTGTGAGGGCAGCACCTGCATTTTTGAAGAGTCCTGTAATTGTTCTTCTCTGTGTGTCAGATCTAATGGTGGGAACGGCAGTTACTCAACTACAAAATTTAAATACAATGGGACTAATTGAATCCCAAGGTGGCAGGGGTCAAGTGGTGGCACTCCTCAAAGGCAACATGGACATAGCTACCATAATGGACAGCAGAGGCAAAACAGCAATCAGAATAGTCTGATTCATATAAAGCTCTGGTGTTGGCTAATTAATCACAGTGTTCCTAGAAGTGAAATTTATAGGAAGCCTATTGCATTCCTACTTAATTTATATAAGCAGAAAAATTCCAGGTTGAATAGACAAAAGACTAATTTGAGTTATAGAAACAGAGAACCACAGTCCCTCAATCAATTTCCAGACTTGAGCTAGTTTACAGACCCAGAACCCACTGAATGAAGGTGAAGCTGAGTCACCTGGAGGAAAGATTCCACTAAATCACTGACAGTTTATTCTGTTAATCTTTCTCCCATTCTTCCCCAAGAAGACCTTTGGTCTTTTACCAGATTAACTGTGCATTAGGGATAGGGAAATGATCAGAAATTTTGGAGACTACTGGACACTGGCTCTGAGCTGACATTGATTCCAGGGTACCCAAAATGTCATTGTGGTTCTGCAGTTAAAGTAGGGGCTTATGGAGGTCAGGTAATTAATGATTTTAGCTCAGGTCCAACTTATAGTGGGTCCAGTGGGTCCCCAGACTCATCCTGTGGTCACTTCCCCAGTGTCAGAATGCATAATTGGCATAGACATACTTAGTGGCTGGCAGAACCCCCACATTGGCTCTCTGACTGGTAGGGTGAAGGCTATTATGGTGGCAAAGGACAAATTGAAGCCATTAGAGCTGCCTCTACCTGGAAAGATAGTAAATCAAAAACAACATTGTATCCCTGGATGGATTGTGGAGATTAGTGCTACCATCAAGGACTTGAAAGATGCAGTGATAGGGATTCCCACTCTACCCCCATTCAACTCTCCTATTTGGCCTGTGCAGAAGACAAATGGATCTTGGAGAATGACAGTGGATTATCATAAGCTTAACCAAGTGGTGACTCCAATTGCAGCTGCTGTACCAGATGTGGTTTCATGGCTTGAGCAAATCAACACATCTCCTGGTACCTGGTATGCAGCCATTGACTTGGCAAAAGCCTTTTTCTCCATTCCTGTCCATAAAGCCCACCAGAAGCAATTTGCCTTGGCAATATACCTTTACTGTCCTGCCTCAGGGGTATATCAACTCTCCAGCTTTGTGTCTTAATCTTATCTGGAGAGAACTTAATTGCTTTTTGTTTCCACAAGATATCACACTGATCCATTACATTTATGACATTATGCTGATTGGATCCAATGAGCAAGAAGTAGCAAACACACTGGACTTATTGGTGAGACATTTGTGTGCCAGAGGATGAGAAATAAATCCGACTAAAATTCATGGACCTTCTACCGCAGTAAAATTTCTAGGGGTTCAGTGGTGTGGGGCCTGTCAAGATATTCCTTCTAAGGCGAAGGATAATTTGCTGCATTAGGTCCCTCCTACAACGAAGAAAGAGGCACAACACCTACTGGGCCTATCTGGATTTTGGAGGCAACACATTCCTTATTTGGGTGTGTTACTCCAGCCCATTTACTGAGTGACCCAAAATGCTGCTAGTTTTGAGTGGGATCCAGAACAGGAAAAGCCCTGCAACAGGTCCAGGCTGCTGTGCAAGCTGCTTTGCCGCTTTGGCCATATGACCCAGCAGATCCAATTGTGCTTGAGGTGTCAGTGGCAGATAGGGATGCTATTTGGAGCCTCTGGCAGGCACCTATAGGTGAATCACAGTGGAGTCCTCTAGGATTTTGGAGCAAGGCTCTGCTGTCTTCTGTAGATAACTACTCTCCTTTGAGAGACAACTCTTGGCCTGTTACTAAGCTTTGGTGGAAACTAAATGTTTCACTGTGGGTCATCAAGTCACCGTGCGACCTGAACTGCCTATCATGAACTGATTGCTTTCTGACACATCTAGCCATAAAGTGGCTCATGCACAGCAGCATTCCAGCATTCCAGCAGCATTAAATGGAAGTGGTATATATGTGATCGGGTTTGAGCAGGTCCTGAAGTTACATGAGGAAGTGGCTCAAATGCCCATGGTCTCCACTCCTGCCACCCTGCCTTCTCTCCCCCAGCCTGCACTGGTGGCCTCATGGGGAGTTCCCAAGATTAGTTGACAGAGAAGAGAGGACTAGGACCTGGTTCACAGATGGTTCTGCACAATATGCAGGCACTACCCAAAAATGGACACCTGCAGCATTACAGCCTCTTTCTAGGACATCCCTGAAGGAGAGTGGTGAGGGGAAATCTTCCCAGTGGGCAGATCTTTAAGCAGTGCACCTGGCTGTGCAGTTTGCATGGAAGGAGAAATGGCCAGTTGTGCAATTATATACTCATTCATAGGCTGTAGCTAATGGTTTAGCTGGATGGTCAGGAACTTGGAAGAAACATGATTGGAAAATTGGTGACTACGAAATCTGGGGAAGAGGTATGTAGATGGACCTTTCTGAGTGGTCAAAAACTGAAAATATTTGTATCTTAATGTGAGTGCACACCAATGTTTGATCTCAGCAGAGAAGTGTTTTAATGATCAAGTGAATAGAATGACCCGTTCTGTGGACACCACTTAGCCTCTTTCCTCAGCCACCCCGTCATCACTCAAATGGCCCATGAACAAAGTGGCCATGGTGGCAGGAATGGAGGTTACACATGAGCTCAGCAACATGGACTTCCACTCATCAAGGCTAACCTGGCTACAGCCACTGCTGAGCACCCAATTTGTCAGCAGCAGAGACGAACACTGAGCCCTCGTTATGGCACCATTCCTTGGGGTAATCAGCCAGCTATCTGGTGGCAGGGTAATTATATGGGACCTCTGCCATCGTGGAAAGGGCAGAGCTTTGTCCTCACTGGAATAGACAGTTACTCCGGATATGGGTTTGCCTATCCTGCACACGATGCTTCTGCCATGACTACCATCTGTGGACTCAGAATGTTTCATCCACCATCATGGTATTCCACACAGCATTGCATCTGACCAAGGCACTCACTTTATGGCTAAAAAAGTGCGGCAGTGGGCTCATGCTCATGAAATTCACTGGTCTTACCATGTTCCTCATTATCCTGAAGCAGCTGGATTGATAGAAAAGTGGAATGGCATTTTGAAGCCACAATTACAATGCCAACTTGGTGATAATACTTTGCAGGGCTGGGACAAAGTTCTCCAGAAGGCCAGGCATGCTCTGGATCAGCCTCCAGTATATGGTACTATTTCTCCCATAGCCAGGATTCACAGATCCAGGAATAATCAAGAGGTGGAAGTGGAAGTGACACCACTCATCATCACCCCTACTGATCCACTAGCAAAATTTTTGCTTCCTGTTCCTTCAACATTACATTCTTTGGACCTAGAGGTCTTAGTTCCAGAGGGAGGAATGCTGCCACCAGGACACACAGCAATGATTCCATTAAACTGGAAGTTAAGGTTGCCACCTGGACACTTTGGGCTCCTCCTACCTTTAAGTCAACAGGCTAAGAAGGGAGTTATAGTGTTGGCTGGGGTGATTGACCTGGACTATCAAAATGAAATCAGCCTACTACTCCACAATGGAGGTAAGGAAGAGTATGCATTAAATATAGGAGATCCATTAGGGCATCTCTTAGTATTACCATGCCCTGTGATTAATGTCAACGGGAAACTACAACAGCCCAATCCAGGCAGAATTACAAATGGTGAGGACCCTTCAGGAATGAAGGTTTGCGTCACTCCACCAGGAACAACAACAACAACAAAAAAGCCATGACCTGCTGAGGTGCTTGCTGAAGGCAAAGGGAACACACAGTGCATCGTAGAAGAAGTTAGTTATCGATACCAGCTATGACCATGTGATCAGTTGCAGAAATTGGGACTGTAATTGTCATGAGTATTTCCTCCTCCTTTTGTTAAAAACATGTTTGTGCAGGTATACACTTGTACTAAGAAAATATCTTCCTTTATCATGTGACATAAGATTTATTGACTTCCTATCAGCATTTAAGTGTTATTAAGTTTATGTAATAGCATTTGGGTGGGGGATTGGTGCATTTCTGGTTGTATGAAGGTTAGTTGTATTATGTTAGGCATAATTATGACCTTATTATTGTCTTTATTTGAAGATTAAGTATGATCTCAGGAGATGTGTATGGGTTCAAGTTGACAGGGGGTGGACTTGTGATGGTTAATACTGAGTGTCAACTTGATTGGATTGAAAGATGCAAATTATTGATCTTGGGTTTGTCTATGAGGGTGTTGCCAAAGGAGATTAACATTTGAGTCAGTGGACTGGGAAAGGCAGACTGACACTGAATCTGGGTTAGCACCATCTAATTAGCTGCCAGCATGGCCAGGATGTAAAGCAGGCAGGAAAACGTGAAAAGGCTAGACTGGCTTAGCCTCCCAGCCTACATCTTTCTTTCATGCTGGATGCTTCCTGCCCTCAAACATCAGACTTCAAGTTCTTCAGCTTTGGAACTCAGAGTGGCTTCCTTGCTCCTCAACTTGTAGATGACCTATTGTGGGACCTTGTGATTGTATGAGTTAATACTACTTAATAAACTCCCTTTTGTATATATACCTACCCTATTAGTTCTGCCCCTCTAGAGAACCCTAATACAAATTATAATGCCCATAATCCCCACGTATCCAGGGAGGGATCTGGTGGGAGGTGATTGGATCATGGTGGCAGTTTCCTTCATGCTGTTCCTATGATAGTGAGTTCCCAAAAGAGGTGATGATTTTAATGTGTGGTACTTCCTCATTCCTGGACACACTCCCTGTTACTCCCTGGTGAAGAAGGTGTCTGCTTCCCCTTCACCTTCCACCATGATTGTGAGTTTCCTGAGGCCTCCTAGCCATGCTTCCTGTTAAGCCTGTGGAAGTGTGAGTCAATTAAACCTTCTTTGTTTATATTTTGGGGAATATCTTTATTGCAATGTGAGAATGGACTAATACAGTAAATTGGTACTGAGGTAGTGGGGCACTGTTATAAAGATACTTAAGAATGTGGAAGTGACTTTGGAACTGGGTAACAAGCAGAGGTTGGAACAGTTTGGAGGGCTCAGAAGAAGATAGGAAGATGTAGGAAAGTTTGGTGCTTCCTAGAGACAGGTTGAATAGTTTTGACCAAAATGCTGATAGTGATGTGAACAATGAAGTGCAGACTAAGGCAAACTTCATGGGGAACTTATTGAGAGCTGGAGTAAAGGTAATATATGCTATGCTTTAGCAAAGATACTGGCAGCATTTTGCCCCTGCCCTAGAGATCTGTGGAACTTTGAACCTGAGAGAGGATTTAGGGTATCTGGCAGAAAAAAAATTCTAAGCAGGAAAGCATTCAAAATTTGACCTGGGTGCTCTGAAAAACATTCAGTTATATGCATTTACAAAGAGTTGGCTTGAACTTGGAACTTATGTTTTTAAGGGAAGCAGAGCATAAAGGTTTGGAAAATTTGCAGCCTCACCATATGGTAGAAAAGAAAAACCCGTTTTCTTCAAGTCAGCTGCAGAAATTTGCATAAGTCATTAGCACCCCACTGTTAATCACCAAGACAATGGGGAAGGTGTCTGTGTCTCCAGGGCATGTCAGAGACCTTCAAGACAGCCCCTCTCATCACAGACCCAGAACCTAGCAGGGAAAAAATGGTTTCATGGGCTGGGCCCAGGGCCCCAGTGCTGCTTTGTGCAGCCTTAGGGTTTGGCACCCTGTGTCCCAGCCATAACTAAAAGGGGTCAAGGTACAGCTCAGATTGTTGTTTCAGAGGGTGCAAGCTGCAAGCCTTTCTGGTCTCCCCATGGTGTTGGACCTGCAGGTGCACAAAAGTCAAGAACTGAGGTTTGGGAACCTCTGCCTAGATTTCAGAGGATGTATGGAAATGCCTGGATGTCCAGGCAGAAGTCTGCTTCATGGGTGGAGCCCTCATGGAGAAACTCTGCTAGGACAGTGTGAAAGGAAAGTGTGGGGCGTGGCCCCCACACAGAGTCCCCACTGGGGCACTGCATAGTGGAGCTGTGAAAAGAAGGCAACTGTCCTCCAGTCCCCAGAATGGTAGATCCATCGACAGCTTGTCCTCTGCATATGGAAAAGCCTCAGGCACTCAATGCCAGCCAGTGAAGGGGCTGCCCAACGCCTTGGGACCCCATCCCTTGCATCACTGTGCCCTGGATGTGAGGCATGGAGTCAAAGGAGATTATTTTGGAGCTTTAAGATTTAATGATGGCCCTGCTGGATTTTCAACTTGCATAGGGCCTGTAGTCCCTTTGTTTTGGCCAATTTCTCCCATTTGGAATGGGAGCATTTATTCAATGCCTGTACCTGCGTTGTATCTTAGAAGTAACTAACTTGCTTTTTATTTTACAGGCTTCTAGGTGGAAGGGGCTTGCCTTGTCTCAGACGAGACTTTGGACTTGGACTTTTGGATTAATGCTGGACTGAGTTAAGACTTTGGGGGACTATTAGGAAGAAACAATTTTGTTTTGAAATGTGAGGACATGAGATTTGGGAAGGGCCAGGGGTGGAATGATATGATTTGGCTGTTTCCCCATTCAAATCTCATCTTGAATTGTAATCCCCATAATCCTTATGTGTCCCAGGAGGTGCCCAGTGGGAGGTGATTGAATCATGGGGGACAGTTTCCCCCATGCTCTTTCATGATACTGAGTGAGTTCTTATGAGACCTGATTTTTTTAAAGTGTGGCATTTCCTTGTTCTTACACACACTCCTTCTAAACACCTTGTGAAGAAGGTGCCTGCTTCCTGCTTGCCTTCCACCATGATTGCAAGTTTCTTGAGGCCTCCTAGCCATGCTTCCTGTTTAGCCTCTGGAACTATGCATCAAATAAAGCTCCTTTGTTTATAAATTATCCAGTTTTGGATAGTATCTTTATAGCAGTGTGAGAATGGACTAATAATACAAAGAACAAGCCTCAGACATACACTTTTAAATTTATATGTCCTAGATATTAGAATAAATTCAAAGCTTGTGAGGTGTATAATTGATTTGACAACAATAACCTGAGTTTATCTTGATCCCTCTAGGAAAATAGTCACATACTATTTCTGTTCACACTAGCTTCTATAATCTCTAATATTCTAACGAATTAATTTTATGTATATCCACTGCTTCTTATAAAAGGTAATGTAAATATGATTTAACACATGTGTATAAAGTCATCTTTCCCTTGGCTTTCATTTATTTTACAGAAATCCTGTTTTGTCACATTATTTTGTGATGCTTCATTTATTGTATACTATATTTTTATAATGTGGAGTCTATTTATAACTTTCTGTGATAATCTTTTCTTCTAGTCATCCACATCATCACACCATCTGTGAAATTTTTGTTTTATAACAGCATTTAATATCCTTGATATTTTAAGTTTATATATACTGCAATAAATGAGAAGCATTGCCTTTTAAGAGAGGAATATAACTGTCTTTCTCCATGCCCGTTACTATTTTTATAGCATGCATATTTTGCCTTGTAAATCTCATTACAATATTACATTTTTAAACAAAAAAGCAAATTAATTCCCTTACTCACTACACTTTATGATTCTTTCCATTCTGTTTTCCCATGAAATTGTTTTTTATTTCATAATCAATGAATATAAAATTTTACATCCTGCCTTTTAAAAAAAATTACTGAACATATCTATTTTTAATGGAGTTTCTTAGGCTTGGGGTCATAATTTAAATTTGTTACTTAAACTGCTTTTGAATGGATGCATGCTCATTGATATTTGGTGATTCTTAATATTTCACTCTTGAAATAGCATTGTTAGTATGTGCTTCACATATTTTTGGTTGAGATGTTCTCATTACCTCTGTGGGCCTTGTGATTTCTACGTATTCTTTAAGACTGAATTCAAACATAATTTATTTAACATAAAATTTATCTGAATCCCAAACTCCAGCTCATTCTTCCAGCAGAGTTTGGCATATCTTTTCCTCACTCTTGTAACTCTGTGTATACCTACCTTTATTTTCTCAAGCATGATACTGAATTTTAATTGGCATCATGTATTCAACCTCTTTCTGAATGTAAACACCTAGGGAGTTGAGGATCTGTTTAATCATTCTTTTGCATTACTAATTTTGGCAAAGTGCTTGCTAGCATATAAAGTTCATTCAATACTAGTAGTTACAATTGTGAATGCTGTACCTAAATTATCTGTGTTAAAATCCTGACTTGCTTTTTCTTATTTGTGTGACCTTGAACAAATTACTTAAACTTCCTGTGCCTCAGTTTTCTTATCAGTAAAATGCAGAGGATAATAATAGTGACTACCTACCTCTTAGGTTGTATTGAAGATTAAATGTATTAATTAGGGCAAAGAGCAAGGAACAGTGTCTGGAGCATAGTATGCACTTGTCTTATGTCAATTATTATTATTATTGTTACTATCATTATCATCATTATTTTAAAAGTATATGTTGAGGGAATGTCATACCCAAACCTTAACAATATATATGTAATTTCTTTGGGATTGAAATTAAAAATATCCAATTATATTATTATAGACCACCAAAATCATAACTGTAGATTTGGAATAAATATTATAAAGTACCTCATTAAATCACTAGCTCCAAATTTATTTTTAAACAAGTTAAGGATAATTTAAAGAAAATGATCCAGATTACACATCAGTTTGTAGATGAGGAGGAATCTTACTAGACATGCTTTATTTAAAAAATGGACATTAGATTAACTACAAAACCATTATTTTCCCATAATAACATGCTAAATAGATAATTATTTTACTTTTCTATTATCTTTGCATAATGAAATAGTTATATACTGATGAAAAAATATTTTATATTCCCATGGGGAGGATAGAAAATGTACCTAACCAACTTTGGATCTGGTTAAGAAGATTCTGAGGCAGAATCTTGAAAGTCACAACTGGATTTTTAAAGCTACCTCTGATAAGCACAAGAAAACATTACATAATTTTCAGGCAGACTATAAAAGAACTATAGAGGGCTCAGGACTATATCTCTAGCCACCAAGTTACTCAATGTAAAAAAATGCCCCAGGACAAGGGTCCATTTCAGGGCAGTGTCAGTAAAATGTGGCCCAAGATCAGGATCAAATCCAGGGTGCCTTTAAGTTTTTAGCAATATTTACAGCAAAGCCTCTTAGTCCCTTTCAGCTAAACAAAAAGGCCTCTAAGACTCTTGGCAACATCTTCCCGTAGTATTCTGACTCACATCCAAAACTAGACTTGAGCATGATTTGAAGGGGATTTTTGTAGGTGTGGCTTTGCCTAATGGAGTGGTTTGTAAGTTTGTGCGTAGAAAACCCACAAAGTTTTTAAAGGGATTGTACCAGCTTGGATGAACAGTGACAGAAAAAATTTCAAAACAAAAGGAAGAAGGCTGAGAAACCTGGTTACAAACATGACTCAGAAGATTAGAGCCGTGAGCAAGAGAGAAAAGCTATTAGTGAACAAAACAGCGTTAATATGGAACATTTCCTTCCCCCAGAGCAGGAGGAATTGATAGAAACTATCCAATTGGATACCACAACTGATGTGAACCGGTGACTGTCCTGTGCCTCTCATTTCCTCTTATTTTAACAGGAGTGTTTACTGTAATAATCCTAACTTCATTTTATCTGTGTGCTGTGTCTGTTGAGGGGTGTGTGGTGAAGCAGGTCAACAGTGCACTGGTTACCAACTCATCTGAGTCCAGTGAGATACCACCCAGTTATATGCAGCAAGTGGCATAAAATGGATTTATTATTTACAGATAGACAGCAAGGGACAACAGAAGCCTAAGATTTATGGTGAGCTTGTCCACCAAGACACAGAAAGCTGCCTGGGGCAGATAGGGTCTTGACTGCATGTGCCCCTCCTGCACCACAGATGATGAACCTGGAAAATAAACTTTTCTTTTTGGGTTACATACCTCAGGGTCACGTTGCTCAATGAGCTAAAGCATTGAAGGATGACATCCTGTTGCTGATGGGAAGTGAGTGACTGGAACAAAACCTAATAAGAGATAACTCTGTTATCTCAGCATATCGCATTACCAGCATATTCTACAGTTATTCTTGAGAACTATAGGCAAGAAATGAGGGAGAACTGGGTTAGTCAAAGTCATCTGGATTGCTGTCCTGAGGTGGAATAACTCATCCATTTAGTTTCCATGTCTTCCAAATGAAAATAACTATATTCATGGAGTGGCACCTAAGAATATGAACCAAGAAATTCTGGACTGTATTTATATAATATAATATATAATATAATATAATATAATATAATATAATATTTTATATATATGTGTATATATATATATATAAATACTTGATGCTGAGCCAGAGTCTGATATTGTAATGAAATCAGACTTTGGAGGGAATTGGGAGATGATATGCTTTAGTTGAATTGTGTTCCCTAAAACATGTGTTAAAGCCCTGGCCACTAATACCTCAAAATGTGACCTTATTTGGAAATAAGGTCATTGTAAATGTAATTAGTTAAGATAAGGTAATAGGAGCTTATAAGGAGATAAGGTCATAAGGAGTAGGGTGGGTGAACCCTTAATCCAGTGGGACTGATATGCTTTTAAGAAAAAAGGAGACACACAGAGAAGACGGCCATGTGATTATAGCAACAGAGATTGGAATGAAACACCTACAAGCCAAGAAACACCCAGGATTTCGGACAAACTCAAAATTTAGAAAAGGACAGAAGGTATGCTCCTCTCCAGGTTTCCAAGGGAGCATGGCCCTGTGGACGTCTTGACTTCTCACTTCTGCCTTTGAAACTGAGAGACAGTAAATATTTGCTTTAAGTCACCCATTTGGAGGCAGTTTGATATGTCAGCCCTAGAAAACTGACACAGGGTGTGTGTATTTTTGCCTGTGGAAAGAATGTAAATAATTTTTGGTCATAGAGAGGGCTATGGTAGATTAAAAGTACCTATAAATTCTTTGCCACACCTCTTCATGGAAGGTGTAACTTATTCCTTTTCCTCCTAAATCTAGGCTGAATTTATACCTTTATTTGATCAACAGAATATGAAGAAAATGATTCTATATAGTTTCAAGGACTGAGCCTGAAGAGATCATCAGCTTCTGCTTTTGTGCAGTGGGAATACTCTCTCTTTGACCATGTTGAGAGAAGCTCACCACATAGAGACAAGATAGAGTAGATTTTGGATATTGTAGCAATGAAAGGCTGGGTTAAGAAAATGTGGCACGTATACACCATGGAATACTATGCAGCCATAAAAAATGATGAGTTCATGTCCTTTGTAGGGACATGGATGAAATTGGAAATCATCATTCTCAGTAAACTATCGCAAGGACAAAAAACCAAACACCGCATGTTCTCACTCATAGGTGGGAATTGAACAGTAAGAACACATGGACACAGGAAGGGGAACATCACACTCTGGGGACTGTTGTGGGGTGGGGGTAGGGGGGAGGGATAGCATTAGGAGATATACCTAATGCTAAATGACGAGTTAATGGGTGCAGCACACCAGCATGGCACATGTATACATATGTAACTAACCTGCACATTGTGCACATGTACCCTAAAACTTAAAGTATTAAAAAAAAAAAAAAGATAGAGTAAAACCGAAGTGATCTGGCTACAGCTCCAGCTGAGCTCCACGCTAACACACCAGCCTTAACTGTCAGTCACGTGAGCAAGCCATTTTAGATTGTCCACCAGCCAAAGCTCAGCAAGCCTGTGGCAGAAGCATCTAATCGAACACTGTCAGGTCATAGACTCTCAAGGGATAATAAATGATTTTCGTTGTTATAAGCTACTGAATCTTGGGTGTTTTGTTATGCAGAAACAATAAACCAAAATATCTGCATTTATTGAGCTCTCATTATGTGCCAGATACTGTATTGGAAACTTTATATTTCTTATCTCATTTCATCTTCACCAAAATTTATATATTAGAAAGCAGTCTCACTTTAGATACGAAGAAAGTGAAACTCAGGGAGTTTCCATTAGAACATCTCTCAGCTATTAATAGAAAGGGACTGAGAAAGGATTCCTATCAAAGATATATTAGAATGAAAAACCTGTGTGCTTACACATGTAAGTACAATTTTATTAACTAACTATATGACCTTGGTGAGTCATTGACTCTCTGTAAAAGTTTTTCTCATTTTATAAAACAGAACTCATAAAATCTTCCCTGTCTAATCTGCAGGGTTATTTTGATGATCTTAGGCATGTATAAAGTACCCTATATAGCTTAATATCTGTGATTATCTATCTATCTATCTATCTATCTATCTATCTACGTATCTATGTAAAGTTTGACACTATTTATTTAAAATTATATCTTATAAGTATAAGGCATACGAATTTTTGTCTTGAATGGAAAAAGTTATGCCTCTTTTTAAATATTTTTATTAATGCATTTACTGTTCCTTTAATTTTGTGTACTATTTTGCCATTATTAGGAAAAGAAGCCACATGTAAGAACAAAATAATGCTCCTCAAATTTGAAGGTTTATAAAAATTCAGAGACATTGGTAATGCTTTATTTTCCACTGCTTGTTTATTCACAAAATCCATTAACTTTCAGGTTGTTTTTTCAACCACTATTGTTTATTAGCTTGATTCTTAGTGAATTCATCTCCTTTAAACCATATCACTGTCTTTTCTAGAGCCAAACCACCAAAGCTGAAGGCATTTTTAGTTAAGACCCACATTCACATACCCGCCCAACTCCTTCAGTTTTAGAAAGATGGCAAGGAGCAAATTTAAAGGGTGGAGAGTGTCAGGTAGCCACTTGAAACCTGGTACAGAGAGTATGATTTTTCTGCTTGTTCCCAGGAGACTGTGTTCACTAAAATATATTTACCAGAGGAGTATTTCTGTTTTCAGGAAGGCAGTCAGCTTAAGAAGGCATTGTTATTACAGTTTTCAACTGCAGCAATATTAGACAATATACTCACGTGTTAAAGGCCAATATTTTTTCTTAGTACCTCTTTGCTACTAAGAAAGCTGTGGTTCAGCTTCATAAAAATAAAACAGCATCATCTTTTGGACCAAGGAAGTTATTTAATGGGAAAAATAGGTCAAATTATAAATAATATAGATAGACGCTTGTAAATTCGTATTTTGTCATGTATTGCTTAATGACAAGGATATGTCCTGAGAAATGCATCATTAGGCAATTTCACTATTGTATGCACATCATGGAGTGTACATACACAAATATAGATGGTATAGCCTTCTACAAACCTAGGTTATATGGTGTAGTCTTTTGTTTCTAGGCAACAAACCTGTACAACATGTTACTGTACTAAATACTATAGCTAAGTATGACAAAATGGTAAATATTTGTATATTTAGATATAGAGAAGGTATATTTAAAATACAGTATAAAAGATTTATTTTTTAAATGGTGCACCTGTATTGGGCATGTCCCAAGAATGGGGCATGAAGGACTGCGAGTTGCTCTGGGTGAGTCGGTGAGTGAATGGTGAGTGAATGTAAAGGCCTAAAACATTACACTACTCTAGACTTCATAAACACTTCATACTTAGGATATAATAAATTTTAAAAATATATTTTTCTTTCTTTAATAATAAATTAACTTTAGCATACTGGAATCTTTTTTTACTTTATAAACTTTTTTAACTTTGACTCTTGTAATAAAACTTAGTTTAAAACACAAACACATTGTACAGCTATACAGAAATATTTTTTCCTTGTATCCTTATTCTACAAACTTTTTCTGTTTTTGTACTTTTAATTTATTTTTTACTTTTTAAAACTTTTTGTTAAAAACTTAAACACAAACAGATACATTAGCCTAGGCCTACACAGGGTCAGGATAATCAGTGTCATTCTCTTTCACCTCCAGATCTTGTCCCACTGAAAGGTCTTCGGGGGCAATAACATGCATGGAACTGTCATCTCCCATGGTAACAATGCCTTCTTCTGAAAAGCCTCCTGAAGGACCTACCTGAAGCTGTTATACAGTTAATTCTTTTTTTTTATAAACATAGAAGGGCTATCCTCTAAAATAATAATGAAAATTATAGTATAGTAAATACATAAACCAGTTACATAGTCATTTATTGTCATTACCAAATATTATGTGCTATACTTTGAGTGGCAGCACGGTAGGTTTGTTTACACCAGCATTACCACAAACATGTGAAAATGCATTGCATTACCACAGTTTGATGCTTATGACATCACTAGGCCACAGGAATTTTTCAGCTTCATTTTAATCTTATGGGACCACTGTAGCACATGCAGTTCGTCATTGACCAGAATGTCATTATGTAGTACATGACTGTATAGCTATAGATATAGAAATATAGATGGAGATAATGAAATAGATGATGATTTAATCAGAGACTCATCATTATAATAATATCCTCTCACTAATACATTCTGTTAGATTTTCTTCCTGAACTGGCTCTTCACACTGGTATTCCCTTACTCCTAGCTGTTTCCTTTTGTGTAAACCTAAGGATCAACTGAATTACCTTGATATAGTCTTATGCAGTCATGTGTCAAGGTGAACTCCTCATATTCTTGACACACATCTCCTGTGTTAGTCAAAATGGACTTTTCATTGTCCCTCAGAACAATCATGTGATTTTACCTATGTACCTTTGTACCCATCAAGGTATTCTCCTTGCTTGGAATAATCTATGTGTTCCTTTATACTTGTTCAAGACTAACTGAACTAAGCTCCATATATCCTGCCATAAATGTTCTTTCAATGATTTTTTTTTGTTCTCTGAAATTCTGTAGTACTCATTGTCTCAACCCCTCTCTTGGCATTTTGCCTTACATTTTTGCTTATTTTAGGTATGAATCCCGTCACACCAAAGAGCTTGACAGGCCTCTTAAGAGCAGAAACCGTATCTCATAACTATTTATCTTCATTGCCTAATATAGAAAGCCCTGTAGGTAGTGTGCTCATGATTAATATTTGATGCTGATGATTTTAATAAATTTTAGTTATGTACAGATCATATGTTACACTTAAGTTCCTGGTCTGTCACAGCCTGGGCATTAGGGAGAATTTGTATTTGTCATGTTATAGTTGCTTTGCCTGTATGTTAGCATAGGCAAAGCAACTATAAACATTTTGGTCCAAAGTAATTTTTCTTATGATTAACCAACTCCTAAATTAAAAGCCAACCGAAAGAATTATTGGCTGAACAAGAAGATACTTAGAAAAACAGCAGAGCTTGACTGGGTTCAGGTTGGAAGACTGTTACATGAGAAAAAGAAGCAGGGACTGAAAAACGCTATAAAAAGGGACCTCTGATTGGTGGAGTTCAGATTTTTTAAAAATCTCACCTCATGTATCGTATTAGTCAGGGTTCTCTAGAGGGACAGAGCTAATGGAGTTCTGGGAGTCCAATGTTTGAGGGCAGGAACCATCCAGCAGGGGAGAAAGATGTAGGCTGGGAGGGTAGGGCAGTCTCTCTTTTCACATGTTTCTGCTTGCTCATATTCTAGCCACACTAGCAGCTGATGAGATAGTGCTCACCTAGATTAAGGGGTCTGCCTTTCCCAGCCCACTGACTCAAATGTTAATCTCCTTTGGCAACATCCTCACAGACACACCCAGGATCAATACTTTGCATCCTTCAATCCAGTCAAGTTGACACTCAATATTAACCATCACATGTGTTCTTTGTCATGAGGGCCTAAACACCAGATGGTTTGTGCTATTCTTCATATAGACTGAGCTACTACTAATGGAGAGCTGACCGACTGCTTCCTTCTCCCCTTGAGACAGTTTTTTGTTCTCTGTGCATATACCTCAGACTGATATGGACTATCTCTTCATCTAAGCACCGAAACCTCACGTGCAATCTTAGCCTACTTCGAAACTGTCACTGTGTTATCCATGACTGTCTACATTAGAATTCCATAATAAACCACTCTAATGTGGTGTGAGATGCCAAAAACAGCTCCTCAAGATGTCTACATTCTAATTCCTGGAACCTGTAAATAGATTACATAGCAAGGAGGAATTAATGCTAAAGCTAGAATTAAGGTTGTTAATCAGCCAGTCTTGAGATGGGAAGTTAATCCTGGATTATCTGAGTGAAGCCAGTATCACAAGAATACTTATAAGTGGAAGAAGAAGGAAGAAGGGAGAGAACTAGAGATATGACAGCATGGGAAAGACCCAGCCCCATTAGATCCAATAGACTAAGTTGGCTTTAAAGATGTCCCAGAATCAAAGAATGTGAGCAGCCTTTAGAAGCTGGAAAAAGCAAGGAAAGAAGTTCTTCTCTAAAGCTTCCAGAAAAAGTGTGGCCCTGTCAACATCTTGATTTTAGCTCAGTGAGACCCTTCTAACTTTTAGCCTCCAGAATAGATTATAAATTAGTGTTCTTTTAAGCCACTAGGTTTGTTATAATCTTCTATAGCAGCAGCAGGAAGCTAATCAAGGTGGTGATTTCACTGATAGTTATAACAGTTTCCTAACCAATGGGAAGGGGAAAAAAACCCCTAGTTTCTATTTTGCAAAAGATCTTTTATAGGTTACCATCTTCCACTTTAATACCAGTTTCTCACTCTCAGCTTAGTGCTTCCAGCTCTTTAAAGTTTTTTTCACATCTATTATCTCACTAAAATCTCATATCATGACTCCCCAGTTGTTATTATAGAAATTATTATCCACATTTAAATTATCAGCAAATTAAGGATAAAGAGGTTCAATAACTCACATTCATGAACCAGTAGAGAAGACATACAACAGTATAAAATTGAGAGCAGGGAAAAATGAAACAAACGTTTGGAATCTTGAATATCATTTGCTCTTCTATTGTAAGTTACTGCAGAATGGATACAACCATCTGTCATTTTTTTGTACTGCTGGATAATTATTCCCACAATTAGTGTTATGAGATATATTTATAAGGTATGAGTAAGGTCATTTCTGTAAAGAAACTAAAAAGCTAGAAAGGAAAATGAATAGTTTGGCATGATCTGTAGTAATTTTGGAAATCTTACAGGGACCATCCTTGTCTACCTCTTAAACCACATTTCCCTGTCCATTGTGTTTCAGTCTCACCAGCCTTCTTTCTATGTCTTGACACAGTGAGCTCTTCTCTGTGCCGGTGCTTACGTGCTTATGTTCCTTATGCCCAGAATGCTGTCACCTAGATTTTTTCATGCCTGACTTTTTCTTATCATTTAGCTTAAATGTCACTACTCAGGCCTTTTCTGATCAGCACTTCTAGAGTGGACAGTACTTTAATAGTTTCTGGTATGTTTGTTTGTTTTCTTTTTTATGCATAATGAATTACAATCTATTCCTTTATTATCTTTTTTTTTTTTTTTTGAGATGGAGTCTCACTCTGTTGCCCAGGCTGGAGTGCAGTGGTGTGATCTCAGCTCACTGCAACCTCTGCCTCCTGGGTTCAAGTGATTCTTGTGCCTCAGCCTCCCAAATAGCTGGGATTACAGGCATATCCCAACAAGCCCAGCTAATTTTTGTATTTTTAGTAGAGACAGGGTTTCACCTTGTTGGCCTGGCTAGTGTTGAACTCTTGACCTCATGTGATCCGCCCACATCAACCTCTCAAAGTGCTGGGATTACAGGCATCAGCCACCATGCCTGGCCTATTCCTTTATTTTCTATCTCCCCCTTTTCACTAGAATAGAAACCCTATGGAAGCAGGAGTCTTCTCTGTGCTGTTCATCTCTATATTCTCAATACTTAGGATATTTCCAGGAAGACATTAAGTCCTTGCTGAAGGAAAGAATGCCTCTCCTACATTCTTGATGCCTCTGGTACCTTCATAGATCCAATGGACTGAGCTAATAATGAGCAGGGCTCTAAGGAATAGATACAATCAGTTTAGAAAAATCAGGCATGAATAAAGGGACATTATGACTTTCCCTACTGAAAGTCTATTTGGCTTAAAAGTATATAAAATTAGATGCACTTGAGGATAAGTATGCATTGAACCTGGGCTTGGGCATTAGAAATAGATTCTCCACTCCCTTTGTCCTGTTTTTGTCATATGCTAAACATTTAATTTACTACCAGGTATAATGGAATAAGGGGGAAGAAGTTGTTGGTGATATTGTATTAGTCCATTTTCATACTGCTATGAAAAAAATACCCAACACTGGGTAATTTTTAAAGAAAAAGAGGTTTAATGGACTCAAGTTTCACATGGCTGGGGAGGCCTCACAATCAGGGTGGAAGGTGAAGGAGAAGCAAAGGCACATCTTACATGGCAGCTGACAAGAGATCGTGTGCAGGGGAACTGCACTTTATGAAGCCATCAGATCTTGTGAGACCCACTCACTATCATGAGAAGAACAACCCATAGGGGACAACTGCCCCTGTGATTCAATTACCTCCTACCAATTCCCTCCTTTGACACATGGGGATTATGCTACAATTCAAGATGAGATTTGGGTGGAAGGACACAGCCAAACCATATCAGATATCTAGCATAAACATGATGGATGCTGTTCCAGATCACAGTAAACTAGGGACTACAGAGGCTATGCATCTGTACGTGGCAATTTGCCAGTCTCTAACATGTGAATTCCTGTCCTAGGTAACTGATGTTGAGATTGAGAGGTTATACTGTTTTCATCTTGGAATGATTTTAAAAAATAACTTTTTTTCCATTTATAAAAATAAAATATTACTTTTGAAAATAATTAATTAAATACAGTTATTTAGAGAAGAAAATAAGCCAGGCCTACTCACACTACCTAGTGATAACTATAGTTATCACTTTGATAAACATTCCAGCAATCTTTTCTTTATATGTATGCACATTTATTTATTACTAAAATGTAATAAGTACTTGATAGATTTTTTTATAAATAAAAACATGAATAAAGGAATGAATGACCATTGGTGAATCCAACTTGAAACTGACAATACAGGCTGTTTAAAAGATTAGTCACTTGTTCCATTGAAATTGTTGTAAACACTTCACTATTTTGCTTTATTCATTATAATTCTGTTTAGCTACTCTACCAAGTATAAGACTTTTAATTTATCAATCCTGTTCCATTTAAATGTAAGAGGTCTCAAAATTCAATTTGGAAAAAGAAAACCTACTGAAATATGACAGACAGTACTAAAGCTGAATTTGTTTTCCTCGCATCTATTCTAACAGAAGTATTTATTTAACATTTTTTAAAAAGTGTATCTTAATAGAAGCAAAATAAGCATTTAAAAAATCAACATTTTTGATATATACTCTCAGCAAATTGGAAATGAAAGTGAATTTCCACAAAATGAAATATGGTATTTATGGAAAACTTGGAGCTAACATCAAAATTAATGGTGGAAAACTTATGCCTTTTTTCTAAAGTTGATACATTTGGAAATGTGCAAGATTTGCACACTCTCATCACTTTTATTCATCATTGTACTAGAGGTGCAATGCAAGTAAAGTAAATAAAAGTCATAGAGATTACAAGTGGAAAATTAAAACAATTTTATATGTAGACAGCATGATTGTGTGAAAAATCTTAAGTAATTTGCCAAAAAATACTAGAACTTATAAATACATTTCATAGATTAATGGAAGAAATGCCAATAGCAAAGATCAGTTGAACTTTTATATATGAGTAACAAACGGTGAAAATGATGAAATAGATATGATTTATACCAGCATGGAAAAATAACGAAATGTGTAGATAAATTTAATGTGAGGTTTCAAATTTCTACACTGAAAACTACAAAACACTGCTTCCAAGAGAAATTAAATAAGACCTAAACAAATGGCGATACATCCCATGTTTATAGTTTGTAATACTCAAAACTGTTAAAAAGTCATTTTTTTCCAAATAAATTTACAGATATTATTCAATCCCAGTAAGATACATAGAACATTTTGATAGAAATCAGTAAGTTGATTCTAAAATTTATATGGAAATGCAAATTACTTGAAAAAACAAAACAAGTTTGAAAATAAAAATCCAAGTCAGAGTATCTACATTAGCTGATTCAGGACTTACATATTAACACTAATTAGGATTGTTTGTTATTAATACAAGAATAGACAAATGGATAAAAGGAATCATTTATAAAATCACACGTATTTAGTCTATTGATTTTTGAAAAAGGTGTAATAGTGGTTATATGGGGGAAGGAAAGGGATATCTCTTCAACAAATGATTCTGGAACAACTACGTGTCTGTATTCATATGACTTCTACCTTGCACCAGGCACAAAAATTAATATAAGATAAATGAATGACCCAAATGAATAAATTAAAAATACTAAGACTGGAAGAAAACACAGGATGATATTTTTATAATCTGTGGTTTAAAAAATGTTTCTTAAATAGAAGAAAGCAGAGAGTAATAATTATAAGAACAAACTGATTAAATAATAATGATCAAAATTTAAAACTTCTGCTCATCAGAAAAAAAAACCATTAAGAAAGAAACAGATTGGTCATAGGCTGGGAGAACATATTCACGATAGATATAATTGTCAAATAACTCATTTGCAGGATATATAAATGATTGCTACAAATCAACAAGAAGACAAATAATCTAATTATAGTGAGCCAAGGACTTGAGCAGACCATTCACATGGCAAAATTTACAAATGGTCAGTAGTCTCTGTTAAATGGTATAATTAATTACTTTCTGCACCCAATATGTATTTTTCCAGGTGGAAGAAGCTCAATTGATATTATTCCTTTGTACTCTCCACTGTTTTACTCACTGTACCCCAAAGGCAAGAAGTGATTTAGTTGTTGGGTAAGTTTGGGAAGAATAGACAGGCCATACTTAACTCAGCAGTTATCTTTTTAAAGGAGCTTTCCAGAGGGAGCACATACCCTGCTGCCCAAACAGGGTCAGGCTCTATTTCTGCAGCAAACTAGTGTAAGGATAGGAAGGTCTTTAGGTATCAAAACTGTATAATTCCAGTCAATTCTGGGGCTCAGTGTTAGAAATCCCTTTAGGTCCTTATACCCAAGCTGTTTTCTCTCACTCATAATTTATAAGCAATAAAGTTGACAGCTAGCCTCCATATTAGTTTTCAATGCATTTAGAACTTGGGTATGGGAGAAGGGAGCTATTTATTAAATCTTCTAAGGGGCCTCAATATTTGGTACATTGGCTACAGGCAATGAATATTTAGAAAGGAGTAAAATTTTGGAGCGAAAAAAGTACATTAGGAAGATTTTGATGGGATCACAGCTGTATCTTTGGACACTGGACTTTTATGTGTCACCATGGTTTTCTGATCTTGGAGGTTTTTTACAGACTTATAGTCAATGACCAATCTTCAGCTGCTACAACTTCGCTTCACACCGCAGGCTAAAATAAGGCCAGCCCAATTTTATAAGGCTGCCCAGGCCTTAGGCAAGGACACCAAAGAGTCTGGGAACAGCAAGAGGGCGCCAGCAGAGGTACATGGCTCAGATGGCTGGCCTCAGTAAAGGTGCACAGGAATCACAAAGCTTCTTAGCTGCGGTATAGAGACCCCGGATGAGCTTCTAACAGTTGTATGGGACCAAAGCTTAATTCATAAACTGAGGTTTTGCTAACAGATATTTCTGCGGCAAAGATTGTACTATAGGAAAAAGAGAATATATGCTTCCTTTGTATTGATAAGCATAAAATATTTGCTGCACTTAAACATTAAAAGAGCCAAGATCACATAGTTCTATGATTTACAGTTCACAGAATCTAGTTTAAAGTCTTAGTGCCAGGCAGTTAGGCATTGCCAGATGACTGTTCCAAATTCTATCACATATTCAGAGCTGAGGAGAAATTGATGAAAGAATTATCTCTAATGTAGCTTTTTCATGAATAAGAATGAATAATTCTTAAAGAACTAGTGGAAATATTTCAAGATGATTGAGTTACTCTTGGTGGCATGCTTGTGCCCTGAAAGAACATGTTTCAAAAGTATATGGAATTGGGCCGGGCACGGTGGCTCACACCTGTAATCCCAGCACTTTGGGAGGCCGGGGCAGGTGGATCACCTGACGTCAGGAGTTCGAGACCAACCTGGCCAATATGGTGAAACCCCATCTTTATTAAAAATAGAAAAATTGGCTCACGCCTGTAATCCCAGCACTTTGGGAGGCTGAGGTGGGCGGATCACAAGGTCAGGAGATCAAGACCATCCTGGCTAACACAGTGAAACCCCATCTCTACTAAAAATACAAAAAAATTAGCCGGGCGTGGTGGCGGGCGCCTGTAGTCCCAGCTACTTGGGAGGCTGAGGCAGGAGAATGGCACGAACCCCAGAGGCAGAGGTTGCAGTGAGCCAAGATCGCGCCACTGCACCCCAGCCCGGGTGACAGAGCGAGACTCCGTCTCAAAAAAAAAAAAAAAAAAGAAAAAAAGAAAAAAGAAAAATTATCTGGGCATAGTGACGCAGGCCTGTAATCCCAGCTGCTTGGGAGGCTGAGGTGCGAGAATTGCTTGAACCCAGGAGGCAGAGGTTGCAGTGAGTTGAGATTGAGCCATTGCACTCCAGTTGGGCGACAAGAGTGAAACTCAGTCTCAAAAACAAAAAACAAAACAAAACAAAAAGTATATGGAATTGATTGAAAAGTAGAAGAAAGACAGTGTCTTGAGGGACATAGGCAAGTTATTATTGTATTCTAATCCTCTAGTGTGGGGGTCAGCAAACCAGCTATTTTGGTAAATAAAACTTTCTTGGAACACCACTACAGCCATTTGTCTAAATCCCTTTCTCTCCACAGGGGCAGAAGTTCATAGTTGTAACAAAAACCATAATGTCCACTGGCTTTTCATAGAAAAAAGTTTGTCAGCTCTTAGAGGTGGGTAATAATTCTCAAACTTGAACATGCATCAGAATTATCCAGCAGGCTTGTTAACTTACCTATTACGAGGCCTATCTCCAAAGTTTCAGATGGAAGTCCAATAATTTGCATTTCTATCAAATCCTAGTAATGCTTATGTTCTTGTCTGGAGCCCATACTTGAGAACCATTTTCCTAGGCACAAGCTTCAGAAGCAACAATAGCAACGTCTGTAATCTGCTAAGCATGATTTGCAGTGAAGTTAAATGAAGTGAAAGCCTTAGACCAAAGAATCTATCACAAGAAGTAATGACAGGCACTATAAATGAAAGAAAAACAAAGAAACAAACAACAGAAAAGAAAGGAAAAAAAAACCTCAGCATGTTAACAGAGTTTGTATTCAAGTAGCAGGATTCAAAAATCATGTGACTCTAAGAGGAAATGTACAGTTATGGTGGCTCACACCTGTAATCCCAACACTTTGGGAGGCTCAGGCGGGCAGATTACTGGAGGTCAGGAGTTCGAGACCAGTCTGGCCAACATGGTGAAACCCCATCTCTACTAAAAATACAAAAATTAGGGCCGGGCCCAGTGGCTCACACCTGTAATCCCAGCACTTTGGGAGGCCAAGGCAGGCAGATCACGAGGTCAGGAGATCGAGACCGTCCTGGCTAACACAGTGAAACCCTGTCTCTACTAAAAATACAAAAAATTAGCCGGGTGTGGTGGCGGGTGCCTGTAGTCCTAGCTACTCTGGAGGCTGAGGCAGGAAAAAGGGATGAGTGAACCCAGGAGGTGGAACTTGCAGTGAGCCGAGATCGTGCCATCGCCCTACAGCCTGGGGGACAAGAGCAAGACTTCATCTCTTGCTCTTGAAAAAAGAAAAAAGATATTTAAAACATACAGACTGCATGGGAGAGAAAGGCTCCCCTGTCCTTCTTGTTCCCCCAAATATTATATATACATGGGTGCAAAATGAATTCCCTCCTGGGAGATTTTTCTCAGTTCATTTTATTTTTGACAGGGAAGGGTACCAAATTATTTCATTTGAAGGAATGGTACAAATGACAGTAGTAGATTGTCTGGTATAACTGACAGGGTAAGTATGTATCCGCCCCATGGCCATGGGGAAGCCGATCTAGGCTCAGCTCTAAGTCATCACTGTCTCCTGGGATGAACTTGTCACAGACACTTGGCCCAGCTGGGGGTGGGGCGGGGACAGGGAAGGGGACTAGGAGGACCAACCCAACGGGCAGGGAGGGGCACTTCCGTCGTCTCGTGAACCCAATTCTTGCATGGCTTTCACCTGCCTATTCAGGTCATGAATCTCAAAGAGGGCACTCCTGTGAGTGTCGTTTTTGGAGGCAGCCAGACTGCGCAGTTCCCATAGTGACGGGTTCACACCGTTTTCCAAGTGTGAGCGGCTCTGCTGCCCTCCCGCCGGGCCAGGCCGGGCGCTGGGCTTCCTCCATCTCCCGAAGCGCTGCCCGGGCCGTTCCGTAGCTTTACGAGTTTTTCAGCTTGTTTCCTCTCCTCATGATACTGGTGAAGAAAATACTTGGGAAAGTTCCTCCAAGTCACCGCGTTGTGGTCGAAGTAGTAGGTCACAGACAAGAAGACCGAAGGCTCCCGCGGACCGGCGATTGGTGGCGCCACGCCGCCGAGCCCTGGCGCAGACGCGGGCGATAATGGCGGTGGTGGCCGGTCCCCTGCGGGGCTCTGCGAATTTTTGGGAGGCTGGCTCTGAGCGCCCATTCCGCCCAAGCTATAAGAAGCAGGACACCCGGCCTCTCTCTGCCCGGAGCGTCTGAGCTCTCCACTCTTTTTTACGTTCTTCATTTGGGGATTCTAGATATGTGGACATCGACCTATCCTGGCAAGGCTGAAGCCATCAAAACCTCATCACCCTTTACTGTGGCCTTTTCAGCACTAAGTACCAGGAGCACGGTGTTGCCTGACATAATGGCTCTGGGGCCTGGATGTTGGCTTGCTTTCTCACTTTGGCGATTGTGAGGCCAATGCTTAATAGTCATGAGTGTCCTATCATTGGGATGTTTCAAATTGAAATATATCAGACTTGGCATTGCAATTTCTGATCCCAAAGAAACTATCCCCCTTTCTGAGACTGTTTTAAAAAACCCTGTTTCACACCACCAAGATTTTGCTAAAAAAGATGGTTTGGTCTTTAACTTAAAAATTTGAGGACTTGGGCCCGGGCACGGTGGCTTACGCCTGTAATCCCAGCCCTTTGGGAGGCGGAGACGGGCGGATCACTTGAGGTCAGGTGTTCGAGACCACCCTGACCAATTATAGTGAAACCCCATCTCTACTAAAAATACAAAAAATTAGCTGGGCGTGGTGATGCACGCCTGTAGCCCCAGCTGCTCGGGAGGCCAAGGCAGGAGAAACGCTTGAACCTGGGAGGAAGAGGTTGCAGTGAACGGAGATCATGCCATTGCAGTCCAGCCTGGGTGACAGAGCAAGTGACTCTGTCTCAATAAATAAATAAATAAATATTGAGGATATGGACTTTTAACTCAAGAGGGCAAATTAATTGGAGTCCAGTTGGCATTTGAATTTTTGGGCATTATCTTGCAGGAGGACTTAACCATTCTCCCTTGGAATTTGATAACCGGAGAGTGTTTCCTTCCTCGAATTGGTTGTCTTTACTATTGTGGGCATTTTTATTTTTAGAATGTTTTAATGTCATTGTGAATTTCTGGAATGCTATGTGGGTAATATGGTTGGTTGTAATTTGGGATGGCAAATTGATTAGGAAATAGATTTTTACTCTTTGGTACATAGAGGCTTCGGAGCTGATTTAGATATTATATATAAATATATATCCTATCCATCTAAATTCCTATCCATTTTAGAGAAATCTAAAGTGACTACCAGTCGTTCCAGGATGATTCCCAAAAAGCAGTGGTTGGTAATGGACATTCAGCCTAAGAAGGTCCAGTAGGATTTTCCTGATGGACCGCTGTTCCATCTTCCAAAGAGGACAGCCCTATTCTTGCTTGACTACAGGATTTGTGAAAAAGCTTAATGGGTTTTGAATAAAAATAAGACGGTGTGGGGAATACTTAATTCTCACTCTGTTTTCTCCCTGTAAATGAATCTGTTTGTCCCTTTACTCACTTCAACCCAGGGCAGGGGAGTGATATATGACTGGTAAAATTGGGAGGAAGTAAAAAATAAACTTGCTTGCTTAGATCTATCACTTCTTCAAACTCTTAAAATTGAAGTAAGCTGCCTACTAAGCACACAAGTTGTTCAGCTTTTCCAGAGGTACTTCCTGCTTTCTGCTACCTCTGACCATGAGAGAGACTGGGTGGGTAAGTTTGTCTAATGCTTGGGTTCAGTGTTAGGTGTCTGTTTAGTTCTCAGAACTAAGCTGTGACCTTTAATTTAGCATTTAAAGTAAAAGAAATAGCCGGGTGCGGTGGCTCTCGCCTGTAATCCCAGCACTTTGGGAGGCCAAGGTGGTCGGATCACGAGGTCAGGAGATCGAGACCATCCTGGCTAACACTCTGAAACCCCGTCTCTACTAAAAATACAAAAAATTAGCTGGGCGTGGCGGCGTGCGCCTGTAGTCCCAGCTGCTGGGGAGGCTGAGGCAGGAGAATGGTGTGAACCCAGGAGGCAAAGCTTGCAGTGAGCCGAGATTGCGCCACTGCACTCCCACCTGGGTGACAGAGTAAGACTTGTCTCAAAAAAAAAAAAAAAAAAAAAAAAGTAAAAGAAATAGTATTTCACTCTTCATATGTCATTTTGTTTTACTGATGTTCGGAAACTGTTAAAAAAAGATATAAATATTTTTGTGGGGTGGGGTGGGGCAAAGGGTCTTCTCCCACAACAACTCCATTTCATTTATTATCCTTAAAATTTAAAAACAAGCAATAGTTTTTCTTTAGTAACCTGAGGGCTGAAGAGGCTGTGTCAATTAAGAAAAAACAATAAGAAAGTTTATGGGCTGGAGATATCCATGGAGATTCACAATACGTGAAACTGTCAACATCACTCTGAGGACAGGCGTGTACATTTACATTAAATAATTATTCATTTGCTAATATTGTGGAATTCTTTTGTAGCGGATGAGAGTAAAAAAAGCCAAATTAAACTCCATCCCTTGCATTATACATTGTAGCATTAGGAAAGGGCATTTTTTCAGAAAATACTCAACAAATAGGATCTCTTCAGACCTTGAGATTCTGTAGTGAGAAACAGAATAAAATCCATAAAAAAAATTTTAAATATTTTTATTCGTCATTAATTAATGACATTAATTAATGACTAATTAATGGTACATAGTCTTCAATTTTTAAGCACATGGAATATGTTTGGCTGAATTGAATGTTATTATTTTAATTCCCTTTGCTAAGCTCAAAGAATGCTACCAATCCTCTTCTGTCATTATGGAAAATTTTGCATACTTGCCCTTAGCCACAGTTGTTCTTCTCAGAACTATTTTGTAATATATAATGTATCTATAACTGAAATTATGCCTAAAATTTGAACAAGAAATAATTCAGAAATGAGAATAATTTTAGATATTATTTTTCACATATCTGAATCTAATAAGCCGTTTAGAGCCACAGCTACCTTTCTCAAGGTACACACTGTTTTGCTTTTATTATAACATCAACTTTATTGAGGCATAATTAGCATATAATAAAAAGACCCATTTGAGCGAACACTTTGATGAGTGGTTTTGAATCCTAACCCATGTCACTCCTACCACATTCAAAATACAGGTCATTTTCCTCAACCTAAAATTTCCTTGGGGCACAAAACCTCTGTGTATGTGTGTGTACACATGCGTTGATTTACAATGAAATTATAATAACATGCCATAAAAGTAACTTTTTATGTGTGTGTTGTTTATCTATTAGATTTTTGAATGTAATTTTATTTTTCAGGGGATTGCTTAAGGTATTACAACATATATACTTTTCACAGTCTACTTAGAATTAATATTTTACCATTTCAAATGGAATGTAGATACCTTAAAATCATGGTTTTTTTTTAACCACCCCATCCCCTTTAAGTTTTAGTTGTCATGAATTACATCTACATGTATTGGATATCCCAGTACACTAAGCAGTACTTTTTGTTTTCTACTGTTATGTTTATTTTAAAGAATTAAAAAGGAGAGAAATGGGCTTATATATCTAATGAAATATTTAGCATCTCTGTTGCTTCTCCTGCATCCTCCATGTTCCAGGTTTCCCTGTGGTATCACTTCCTTTTGCCAAAATAACTTCTTTTAACATTCTTTTGGATTACATCTGCTGGTGAAAACTTCTCTTAGTGTTTTTCATTTAAGAATGAGGATGTTTGTAGTTTGTCTTCATTCCTAAAGGATGTTTACACTTTATGTATTCTGTGTTGACCATTCTTTTATTTTAGCACTTCACAAATGTTCCATTACCTTCTGATCTCTATAGTTCCCTCTAAGAAATCAGTAATAATTTGAAGAGTCATTTTTCCTTGCCTGTTTTCAAGGGTTTTTTTTGTCCTTGGTTTTCAGCATTTTAATTACAATTTAATTACAGCATTTTCTTTGAAATTTTCCTGGTTGGGCTTTGCTGAGCCTCTTGAATCTCTAAAGTTATGTTTTTACCAATTTGAGATGATTTCCACCTTAATTTCTTTGAAATTTTTCTGCAATCACATTCTTTCTCATGGTCTTCTGCAACCTATATGACGCCAAATTTAGACCTTGTTATATTGTCCTACAGGTATCAGAAGTGCTCTCTTTTCAATTTTTAAAAAATCTCTTGGTCAGATTAGGTCATTTTTATTGATCTGTCTTCAAGTTCATTGACATATTAATTTTGCTATTGAGCCCATCTAGTGAATTTTTAATTTTGTTTATTGTGTTTCCCAGTTCTAAAATTTCCAGTTCCAAAATGATCATTCTTTTTAATATCTTACTTCTCTGCAGAGACTTTCTATTTTTCATTTGCTTCAGAAGTATATGCCCTTTGTTCTTAGAGAAACATTTTAAATTCTTTGTCTCTTAAATTTAACATCAGGATCTATTTGGGATTGTTTTGTCAATTGTCTTTTCTCATGAGATTTTGTCAGAATTTCTGGGTTCTTTGAATATTGATTAGATGTTGATTGTATTTCAGACACTTTCAATATTGTGTTATGAGATGTGGGTCTTTTTAAATCCTATGGAGAATGTAGTTAGTATTTTTATAGTAAACCGTTGACCCAGTTAGGTTGAGGCCAGGAGTGCCATACTGCATTGATTCCCTTAGTTGTTTTCAAAACTGTTTGCAGTGCAATTTGCATCTGTCTCAAAATATATGCAGCCCAGAGGACAGTTTTAGACATAAATGGTAATCTATTCCATGCTTATTTTCTCAAAGCTACCTGTATGGTATTTTTTTTAAGTCAGATCCATGCATGTGCAGCTCAGGGGGAGCCTATGAATTCACCTACATCTTTACAAGATACCTTTCTCAAGTATCCTCTTCTCTGCTCTTTTTTCAACACTGTCTAGCTTCATACTTCAACTTTTCAGAGTTTATTTAGAACGAATATTTTACCATTTCAAATGAAATGTAGATACTTAAAGTCATATGTTTCTTTACCTTCCCACCCCCTTTAAGTTTTAGTTGTCATGAATTACATCTACATACACATCTCCCTCTCCCTTCATGGTCCTTTGTATAGAAAACTGACCAGCCTCCTCACTCTGCTGTGTATTTTCCATAAGAGGAGCTAAATAAAAATAAAATTAAAAAAAACCAGGAATTTTTCCTACACTTTATGGCCTCCTTTCTACTCATACCAGAAGGATAGGGGATTACTTTGGAGCTATTTCTGTCTACACTTCATGTGTAGTTCTGAGATGTGCACTGCCTTTAAGTACATATAGGCTGGGAAATATGGGAGGAAGGGAAAAATACACACTCACGATCAGATCATTTGTACATTGAGTTTTAACATCTTTCCCCAATTTACTTGCTACTGTTTCCTTTCCAAAGTCCTCAGATGGTTGCATTCAGTGGGAGAGACAAGATGCCATGTGCTTGCTCTAAATGAGCCGTATCTGGGGCATTCATAGTTTTAAAATAAGATTTATGTGTCTTCTTTTAACCTTAATACTGTAGAATCTCCCTTATATGTCCAAATTAACTTGTTTTAAAAGGGATAATGAAAAACAATTTCTCTTTTTTCCCCTTGCTTCTTACATGCCATCAAATCTCTTTCCTCTTTGACAGAAAAAGGAGGCACACTTAAACAGGATCTCATCACACTCTTTCTAGAACAATAATTCTATTTTTAATGTGTAAATACTTTTCTATCCTGGTAATATATTTTTCTGGAAAGTACGTAAAAGAAGTGTCCATACTTGGTAGCTGTCTGTACTTTCTTTTTTTCCCTCATATTGTGAAAGTCAGATAAATCAAAGAGGAATACTGAGATAACTACAAATATTAATGGCTTTCATAGAAGGATTCAAAATGTGATTCCAGTGGTATCTTCTGTAGGGTTAGTGTAAGTGAATGTTTATCTCTGTTCAAAAATAAAATGAAATAAAATAAATTACACCAAACATAAATAATACATTTGAGACAGTGGTAAACATTCAAACGAATTGTGGCTTGGTGCAGAGGAGATTCTGACAGTAAGAGCTATACCTGTGCACAGAATACCTTAGGCAACCACACACTAGACCCTTAACACCATCTACCTACCATCCCCTTCTTTGCCTTTCCTCAAAGGCAAGTGAGTTGATGATGCTTCGTTGTAAAGAATAAACTCTAGACATTGATTGTTTGAATACTATATTTTTCCACAACAGTCAAGGGCTTATTCCAATGCCTACACAACATTAGTTTCCTATATCCTGCATTAATTGTTTTGTAAAGCCAAAATAAAATCCATTTTCCTTTATCTTTTCTTCTACCTTTCCTAGATAGCTTCATGCAAAGGTAGAACTTGAAAGAAGGATTCCTATTTCCAAAGCAAATTTGCTTTCCATCGTGTTAAGTTGATGAGAACTAGGAACAGTTCCTCTAGCCATCTCCGCACGACTAAATCCTAATTTATTTTTTCTAGTAAAACCCTAATTTCATTAAGTCACTCCTTATTATCCTATAGGAATGTGGACAGTGGAAGTAGACCAAAGAAAATAATATCCTAGTTTTTCCACTGACCGACAGTATGACTTTGAATGAGTTCACCTGACAACTCTAAACCTCATGCCCTCATCTGTCAAATCAGGATGATAAGGAATCCCCTCTCATAGAGTTGTGCCAGTGACCCAGCAATAACTCCCTTAATGCTAGCTGCTTCTGCACTTACCACAATCAGCCTTTTATTATGGTTGAATAGATATGTTTTCCTTACGTGGTTATAGAGTTCAAGGACATTTAGATGTTATATATACCATTTTTATTTTAGGTAAAAATACTGAAGCTTACAGGCTCAGAATGATTTTTCCTAAACGGCGTAGATATGGTAAGTATGACGGGAGTTAGCCAGGCGTTAATGAAGTACCACTGTTAAAGGGTGAGTATCGTGATATTCTAAGAGGATAACAGAGGAAGCTCAGTAACCCATGTAGCAAGGAATTCTTAGTTGCCTGCTTGATGTTAGCCACCTGCCTTTCTCTTTCCTGAATACAAGGCAGTGGGTAGGGGAATTGGCTACAGAGGGTAGAATGGCATCAGGGCTTATGCCACATAAAAAGATCTGGTTATTCTCCTTAATTCTGATCCAGTAGGCTTGCTGAGCCCTTCTTAGAAGTGAATTATTTTAGTGTTAATAAGAAGTCAGGCCCAAGATATATTAAATTCTTACTTTTCATTTGTGGTTGCCATGTCATCCTGTATGCTGATTTGCTTTAGCTTAGTGACCTATTTTTCAAGTAGCTAATGCACTGATGCCAATGCAGAGGCCTTTGTGAATAACTTTTGGCCACTGGGTTGAGGTAAAATGTTCATTTTCTGATTCTGTGGTGCACAGGCAGAAAAGCGTAGGCTGTGGAACAGATTTCCCATGCACTGCTGCTGCTCTGCATTACTGAACACGGGCTCAGCCATTTGGCTTTTCTTGGACTTTTCATTTTCAGAGACAGAGCCCCATTTTACTTCTGTTTTTTTCTGTTAATCAATAAGCTGCAAATAAAACTGCTGAAACCTGATTTCCTCCCAGAGTACTTTTTTTCTGTGGATGCTTCAGATTCAGAGGGACTAGAGTTTCCAATGAGGATTGTTTTGACTTTTAAAAAAGGAACTGTAGTTCTGCTCCTGAAAATAAAGGAAGTTAACATTTCAAAGTAGGTCTCTGAACAAAACATCTGCTGCAAAAACTTTGTGATTGCTTTTTAAAGAATATACCAGGAAGACCAAGAATAAGAGAAGATGAGGATATTAGGGGATGGAATCACTCCTCCTTCTATTCATAATTATTTAGTGTATAAAGACAATCTACACCTCTTCAGCCTTCTTTTATATCTTTAAACTTCAGCAACAAGACCTATAAATTACCCTACTCCTTTCAAAATCTCTTTTCAAGGAAAGATGTAAGAAACTATCTCATATGAAGATTTAAATGATTGATCAAACTTTCAATATTATTCGTAAAAAGGAGTATCTGAACTTAAATAGATAACCCCTCAAGCTAAATTAATGATGTTTTGTGGTATATTTAGAGCTGTGTTTTTATTTATTATTTGACAGAACTAAAAGGTCCCTAAAATCATGTGTGACTGCCTTTTTGTAAAACTGTACTAGATTTGAATCATTGCTTTTCCTGACAGCTTCTTCTAATGAAATCTTACTCATTAACTGCAGGAACAATTGCAGAATCCCACTCCACTCCCTGTAATCATGTTGGAACCTGGAAGGAAATGATCCAAGACTTCTTTTATTATAAAGCTTGACAGTAATCACATTGTATAGCCTGGCATCCTAGAATGAGTTGGGCCAAACAGATTCCTTTCTTGGGAGGAATCTTCATCCCTTTTCTTACTTCCTCTAGCAATACTTTCATGTTCAAGAGAGGTCAGACACTGAGGCAAATTAAGTTTATCATTGCTCTCACTCTTATTTTTAACTCATTGATTTCTTTTGCTGAGATTCATTCCCATGACAACAACACAGGCCACTTGGGTTAAGAGCTCAAAAGAGCAATGAAACTTGAGAGGATCCATTTTGTTTTTGTCCCATTTGGTATCATTTCCAGATGCTACTCACTGCCTTATACATCACACTGTCCCTGAGTCCTCAGGGTATCTGTGATAAATTTTGAGATCTTTTTATTTCCTTGCCCAGTAAGAAAGGGCACTTTGTTTTTCCTGATATGGGAAATATTTTTACTTTCTCAGAAGCTTTTGTTCCCCATACTTTGATTAACAATACTAAGTTATAAAATCTGTAAGGACAAGATGGCTCAAATGCATCACCCCCTCCACAGGGACTTTGTACAGGGCATTTCCTCCATCTTTCCTGCTCTCTCCCTTCCCTCTTTCATTAGCCATATCAACTCACACTGATTGTTTCTCTCAGCTGAAAGGTTACTTCCTCAGGGAAGACTGCCCAGGACACTCAGAATGGATTTGTCCCCACTGCTTTTCCTGCCTATAATCTCCTTATAATTCTTCCTCAAAGCATATACTGTAACTGGTAACTATATATTTCTGGGAATATTTAAATAATATTCTTTCCCCAACTAGGCTGTGAGCTCCTGAAGATAGGGAACCTGGCACTTTGGTTTATATTTAAATCTCAGCACCCAGCAGAATGACTGACAACTAGTAGACTTGGTAGGTATTTATTTATTGCATGGATGGAAGAATCTCTAATTTCTCCCTCTTAAGGCTACAATCAGTTTGACAGTTTATCTGTGTGTGTGACTCAACCTGAGTTGCTATAAAAAATATAATAGACTGGGTGGCTTAAATAATAGAAATTTATTTCTGAAAGTTCTACAGCTTATCACTATGTCCTCACATGACAGAGCATAAGAGAGGAAGAGGGAGCTCTCTTTCTCTTCTTCTAAGGCCAGTATAAAGAAAAATAAATAAATAAACAACAAAAAATAAGGCCAGTATAATACCATATCATAGTTGTGGCTTTCCAGAGAAACATAACCAAAAAGAAGTATGTGGATAGATAGAAAGATAGATAGATGGATAGATAGATAGATTAATAGAGATCTATATAATGGGAATTGGCTCATATGATTATGGAGGATAAAAAGTCCCATGGTCTGCTGTCTGCAAGCTGGAGGACCAGGAAAGTTAATAGTGTAATTCAGTCTGAGCCCAAAGGCCTGAGAATCAGGGGAGCCAATAGTATAAATACCAGTTCCTGGACAAAGGCCTGGGGACTAGGGGTAAGGGTAGGGGTAGGGGTGGGAGTGGAGGGTGGGTGTGGTGAAAGTCCTGGAGGTGTCTGAGGGCAGGAGAAGATCGATACCTTTCAAACACAGAATGATAATTCACCCTTCTTCTGCCTTTTTGTTCTATATGGGCCTTCAACAGATTGAATGGTACCCACACTGGGGTGAGCTATCTACTTTACTCAGTTCATCAATTCAAATGCTAGTATCTTCTGGAAACACCCTCACAGACATATCCAGAAATAATGTTTTACCAGCTTCCTGGTAATCTCTTAGTCCAGTGAAGTTGACACATAAAATTAAGCAGCACAGTCAACAATCCTATTGGATTAAGCGGTCTATGGTTATGACCTCATTTAACCTTTATCACCTCCTCATATGCCCTATCTCCAAATACAGTCACATTGGTGGCTAGAGCTTCAGAACTCACACACACACACACACACACACACACACACACACGTATATTTTAGGAGGGGTCACAATTTATTCTAATAGCACCAGGTTATACTTATTTGACTTGAAGTTGCCTCAGTCCTTCCAGCAGATACTAACTTAGCACTCTCTACTTTTCACTTTTCTTATTTGCAAGCAAATCTTTATTTTTTTTTATAAAAGAGTGTTCAGTTTCTGTTAACTCTACAGGTTTTCTCTCTCTTTCTTTCTCTCTCCCTCTCTTGATTTCTTTCTCTTTGTTGCTGTTTGGCTTTGAAGAAAATAAAAATCTTTTTCTGAGTATATTTTTTATGTGAATTGAAAGTTGTGGTACAGGATGGCAACAACAGAAGTGTATTAATGTAAGCAAGACTCAGAAATCATTATTTATGCATTCAAAAAGTAAATATATTTCCAGTTTTTGTGTGTGCCACTGAATTTCGTTGGGTTTTGATATTCTTTCTTCTGTGGTTTTTATTTTCCTCCCATTCATATACTTGATTGAAGGTGAATCCTAGTTCTTATATCTTCCTCAACAGAAAAGTTGTATTTGTCTCCAAGTGCTCTATTTAATTTTTTAAAATGATTTTTATTACTCTGTACAAGGGAGTCATCTGGAAATGGCATTCCTTAATAAACTGCCCTTATTTTTTCTTGTGAAAGAAGTTCTGTTTTCTGTTTTTCATCTTCAAATGGCCGTTGGCACTTTTCTGATGGAGAATACAGGGCTACTAGAAGAGCAGCTCCTGCCAAGTGAAAAGGATTTGTTTTTTTACATTTTCACGCTGTTTTTGTGTTATATTTAATTGGAAACATGCCACTTCATATTCTTCGCTTTCCCCCCAATTTTTATTTAAATTATTCTTTTGCAGTTGATTTTTCAGTTGTCATTGAACTTGCATATTAAGGTAAAAATCTGTTAAAAGGAATTTTTAGTTCATGAATTCTCTGCTGGATTTGCTGGTCTTTCTGAAGGACAAAAAAGTTGTATCAGGTGTGAAACAGGTGTGTGAAAAGGCTACTAGAATATTGATTATGAAAGTCCACGGTGAATAGCATTCCACTTGAAAAAGCAGTTTCAGGCTAACTTACTGCATTAATGAGACTATCATATTGACTAGACTTTTGGAACAAGAAATAAGCTTCCTTTCTTGTCACCTTCCTCTATTTGAATTTTATACCTGAAAATATTTTTTTAATGTCCCTTTTAAATGGAGGGATTTTACCTCTTTCTGATCCATTCGGATTAGAGCCAAGAGCATTTATGACGAAGGTGACTAGGTAACAGGTAATGGCAAAGAGCGTTTATGACAAAGGTGACCAGGTAATGTAAAGCAGGGTAAAATCCCATCAAATGGCTGTGCTGATTCATTCCCTGCTCATGCGAATCCATTTGTTACCTAGACAGCACCAAGGACCAATTTATCTATTAAAATGTTAGCACTAAAATGTTACATATATATTTTTACCTAAATGTGTTGAATATTCATTTATGTTCAAAAAGATAATGGAAAAAAGAAATTGGATTTATCATTGTTTCTGCCTTCAAGGGTGTTACAGTCTACCAGAAAAAGAAATGCATGAATAATTATAATGAGAGAGAGTGGGGTCTATGATAATTAAGTGCATAGGAATTCAGAGCAGTGAGTGATGATTGTCATTCGTGGAAATTGGGGAAGGCTTTCCAGCGTAATGGTATTTGTACTGCCATCTGAAAGATCGATGAGAGACAGACAGATGGAAATGAGAGAGGTGTTTATTCTGGGCACAAAAAACTAACAAAGGCCCCGATGAAAGGAACGACAGTAGTTTGCTTGCTGAATAGATTGGCAATACAGGACTGAGAGACAGAACAGAAAACTTTGAATGCCACTTAGATTTTAGACATACTGTGAAGATTTGGGGAGACCCAAAATAGGGTAGTGAAAATAGAAGAAGAGATGGCAAGAAGCTGTTTTGTATAAGTAGCATTGATTAATTTGACAACCTACTGAGAAGCAAGAAGCTAGCAGTCAAATTTGAGCCTGTAGTTTTGATACTGGGTGATTGGGAGAATGATGCTATTCTTAAAAGAAAGAGGATCTATAAAGTTTGGAGCAAAGTGGTTTTGGAGGAGAGGAAAATAGGTGATTTTGGAATAAAAAACATGTTCCTATAAAATCTCTAGAAGTCCCGATTATTTAAAGGAATATCTGGCTTCCAGCCAGGGTGTAAACATACTGTTTCTGGATTTTAATTTAGACATTGTTCTGAGAATTTGGTGTTTGTGAGAAGTTTATATAATCACCTTTGTGCCAGTTGATATCCTGTGTTGCCTTATAGTATCTTATATAAATGAGGTTACATAATGACTTGAGGGTACATAATGATTTGCATATACTTTGTTTTTTACCTAATATGCAATCAAGAAGGAAAATATATGTGTAAGTAAAACTCCCAAAAAGGATTTTAAAAGGCCTTTGCCCCCACTAAAAGATGGCAAAAGCTTAATGAAAAGAAAAAATGTTGAGGGAACAAATGGGAACCTAGGTGAAGATAACACGTGATTATGACAGAAAACACTGACATTCAAACCAGATTCATCTAATGGCTCTGGGCTTTGGGATAATAGATTCAGATGCCATTTCAAAGTATACTTCACCATCCTCCTTTCAAAAGCCTAAGAGAGTTCTGTCTGGTGTCAGAGTTCTACATTTTCTGAGGATTCAGATCAATGGTCTATAGTGCTATGAGAATTCTGTGCTATACAGAAACTCCACTGGAAAAGGCTGGGCCTGAAGTGTGAATATTAAATGGAAACATGGTTACATGAAAGAATCTCAAGGTCTGTCTTAAAATGGAAAAAAAAGGTGGGTATCTGTAGGTGTGTGAGTGTTAAACAATCATTTTGTTTAAAAGAGAAGAAAAAAATATTTTGTTTTAATTCCTCCTCAAGTGTTCTTATTTTTTTTACCTAAATCCCAGTGAGATGTTTTTCTTTTTAAACAAAAATCTTTAAAGAGTGCTTGAGTTCTTTTCAGTATGATTTTTATTACTCTCCATTTCAATTGCTTTTGAGAAAGTGATAACAATAGAGAATCAAGTAATATTCTCTGCTTTACTCATATAATCTGATTGATGGACTAGATATTCATGGTATATGAAGGTATAAAAGCTATAGGCTGTTTCAAGTATTCATTACTGTCTATTTTCTGCAACTTCTGGGGTTCGGTTGAGATATATCAGCAATAGCTAAGCTAATGTTCTCCCACCCAGGTCTACTTAAAATCTACATTCTCAATTTTATTCCTGTAGCAAGTGCCTGGAAATCTAATGGAACTAGATAATGGGAAGATGCTGTTTGATAAACCTCTTTTTTTATTCTTACATCAGCAAAATAAATCTTGAATTTCTTTGAATGTAGAAGCAAAGGTAAGTAGACTATATCAGAAAGCTCAGGCAAATTTCATGAGACAACCTAGGTAAGTAGACATCTATTACATCAATATATCCTAAGCAAACAAATTGAGGAATAATGAGTTAGAAATATCAGATAAACTGGTTAATGAGAAATTATAAGAAGAAAGGTAAGGATTGTAGGCAAAAAAGGATCTTGACACTACAATGTTAGCTGCCCAGGCTAGGAGTATCTGACCTACATTTTGGCAAAGGAAGTATACAGTGTTGAGATGGGATAGTTCCCTTGACTTCGTGAAGGGGTGGTTCGCTTACTCAGTCCGCAGCTCTCAAACCCCTTGTTGGAGGGGGAGCATGTAGATGAGTGACTGCAGAGGCCAGGACGAGTGCTTCTGGGTGGCAGTAGGAGTAGAACTCTGCATGGCCCCGTGGCAGTGTCTAGAGGTTGCCCACAACCCCCAGAGCCCCAGTCGGTGTGTATTACAGTGCATTCCTTTAGCTTTTCCACCCGTGGATGGCTTAAGTGTTAAACAGCTCAGTGGGGGGTCATTGTGGTAGCCTCTTGCACCCACACTTGGGTGCTTGTCCAGTGTCCAGGAGGAATGAGGTCACATGAACAAATTGGAGGGTGGTGAATGTGGAGGATTTTACTGAGCAGTGGAAATGGCTCTCAGTGGGATGGGAAGCAGGAAAGGGGATGGAGTAGGAAGGTGGTCTTTCCCTGGAATTCTGCTGTTCATGGCCAAATCCCTGTCTGACCATCCCCCACCAAACCCCTCTCCCACCATAATCTCCAATGTCCAGCTGCTTCTTCTCCCCTTGACTTTCAGATGCCTCTTCTTATCTGTACCACTCTACTGCTCTGCCACCTCTCTGCCAATGGAACTTGGGGTTTTTATGGGTACAGTGTGGGGTGGGGCAAGCCAGGGTGGTTTTGATAAAAACGACATTTAGGTAGGGAAACAGGAATTCTTACTTAGGGCTGTGGGTCCAGGCTTGAGTGTGGAGCCCTCGCCAGGGAACCTGCCCTTTTTTACCTAGTATTTCCCTGCCTCCTGTCTATATCTGTGTTCCCAATTGGAGACTGTGATACGTGGTCAGTGAAATAAGTGAAAAGAGAGCCAGAAGCAAAGTGATTGCTGCTGGTGAGATATAACACTTTCTATGCATTGTTATATTCGTCCAGAAAAAAAAATTATGAGAAAATTATCAAAGGATCATATAAAACTTTGGCAATCATTAAATTCTAATAATCATTCAAATTTGACAATCATTGCCTTATCATGGTCTCTTTCAAACAATTAGCTTATACATAAAGCCACACAAAAACAAGAGTTTCTCATTTGTTCATTTTAAGTGACCAGGAAGATATAGCCAACAGCAGATAAATGACCCTGATTCTCAGTGTATATGTCTTATGAAAATCGATTTTTTACTCATCTGAGACCATTCTCTTCCTGGTTATTCTAACTGCCTGCCTACATTGATTGGCCCCTAACATCAGCTGATGTTGCTAATAGCTGCAGTAGCTGCTTTTGCCTGTGACCTAACAAGTAACTGACTTTAC